>NC_000008.11:13193435-13496466 GCF_000001405.40 Homo sapiens
TCCACCACACCTCTAATAGTTTAGTGCCACATCTGTACTAAGTACAGATATAAAGAGCATAACAACTATGGCTGGAATCCCCTACTCCCTCCCACCATTTCCTACTAACTCAGTGGGTTAGAAGCATTTATCTTTATTTCTGTTGTGGCAACCCAATTCTGGTTGTTGCCTTCTGTTTTTCTACTGCTTACACCAGCAACGGAAGTTCATAGGAATATCTTCCAAAAAAGCTCTGGCCAGAACCAAAGGAAGTGAGTACATTCAAGGGTGAAAGGATGATTCAACCTCTTTGAGTGCTTAATTTTTGGTATCCCTTCTGAAATTGCTGAAAAGAATGCCAACAAGTTGTAATTACCATAGCCCTCTCTGGGAGGTGGAAATCTGCCAGTACTCATTGGATTTCAACCAACAATCCATTTCAAAGAAGTCATCAAAGGAAATGAGCACCTATTTTGGTAACTTTTAGGGAATATCTGACGCCGCTAAAAAATCCACATGCATGCTTGATAGAGTTTCATAAAACTGTGCTTCTTTATTAGCATTTTAAATTCAGGCTTATATGTGCACTAAAAATTGTATAGTAATTTATTAGAGAGTCAATGATAGAGAGTGGCTAGGGCTTGGTCTCAGAATAAAAGAAACTTCTCAGTTCACCAAAATCTGCATTCGCTACCCACAGAGAAATGAGCACTTAATCTTCTAGGAAGAAAACATACCTGTGTTCAAATTTTTATCAAATGCCACATTTTTCCAGTAAACTAAGGTCCTCAAGCGGGGACATTCATCACCATCCTCAGGAAACTGAGAGGACTGCTTTTGCAATCAGAACAGCTTCCAAGGCCCTTATGCCAATAGCTATGTGGAACGATTCAACATCAGCCTCGGAAACTTCCTTGGGAGCTGAGTGGGCAGCTATGAATCATCCCCTGCCCTTTACACATATTGTTACTGATCTCCTTGGAATATTATATGAAAATAACAGCTTGCATTTTTGTAAAGAATGCTTTTGCTGATGGCATCAGGCAGTCCTGGAGTAAAAGAAGGCCCTGGTGAACTGTGTATCCTGGAATTGGATATACTCCAAAAATGTTTGCAAATGCTGTTTGGAAGCTGAGTCAACACACCTGATTTGGAAGAAAGCCACGGGCAGAGGCCAGCATTACTGGCAAAAGCACAAGGACTCCATTCTGGGGATTAAAAATAACAGAACTAAGTTTTAACCTTTTCATAGTCAACTTGAAGAAACATTGTAGGCCGCAAGCATTCCATTTTGTTATGGATAAGAAAGCAGGCTGGGCATGGAGGCTCATGCCTATAATCCCAGCACTTTGGGAGGCTGAGGTGGGAGGATTTCTTGATCTCAGAAGTTTGAGACCAGCTTGGGCAACATAGAGAGACCCCCATCTTTACAAAAATATAGGAAAATTAGCTGGGTGTGGTGGCATGCGCCTGTGGTAGTAGCTAGCTGAAAGGCTGAGGCGGGAGGATGGATTGTGCCCAGGAGTTTTAGGTTACAGTGAGCTATGATTGTGCCACTGCACTCCAGTGTGGGTGACAGAGCAAGATCCTGTCTCAAAAACAGCAAAAGAAAGTAAACCTAGAAAAACCAAACTCTCCTTTAAAAAATGCTTCAAATACACTGAGAAAATTACTGAGCATGGTTTTTCCCTTTGATTTGGCTATTTCTCATTTATTTGGCCCAAACCAATACTATATGATATTCCTTCACATGGGAAAGAATAGCTAGAATCTCAAAGCCTTTGGGTTCTAATCCCAAATTTATCACCAATTAGCCCTGTAGCTTCAGAGTTGCATGGATACCTTGGGATATCTGTTGAACTTGACAAATGTATTTTGTCAGCAATTGGAGATGGCAGTCCTTCTGTTGCAAGATCAAAAGCAGATGAGCTGTTTCAATCAATCATGTTCTTACAGGTAGCAACAGCCGCATCGACATTTTGAGCCTTCCTATATAAATAAATAGCTCCTGCCAATGGTGAATGATCAAGTGGAAGCGAGTGTGAGTACAGCTCTTTGCTACTTAGATCCGTATGATATGAGGTATAGTTGATGGAAATGAGGATGCTTAATTTCTAGGAAAGGAGATTCAGAGAAAATTTTGTAGGTTCTTTGTGTGATTGAAGTACTTCTGTGAAGAAGGAGAACTAAATTTGTTTTGGTTTGTGTAACCTCAAAGTATTAAATATTGCCAATAGGTAGAAGCCATACAAAAACAGATTTCAGATCAACTCAGAAGATTATTTTCTAACATAGCTCCTTAGAGATGGTGCCACATTACCAAGTAACATGCCCATCCCTGGAGGTGTTCAAGAAGAGGGTTGATGGCCATGTGGCAGGAACATCGTGGTTGACCTATAGCAGCACTATCCTTCTCTTGGATTTTCGGAATCATTTAAAAAAATGAGCAAGGGGTCATTATAGAAATATAGACTGTCACCTTTTAATTTTGCCAATTTAGGACATTTTAATTGCCACTTATAATTACCACCATTTAACAAAATAAAGGATAATTCAAGAAGAGAAAAGAAATAATGTAAGAATGAAGGATCATTCTAGAATAGTAAGTAAATCCAGCTTTATACAATATATACCATTTATATAAATTAAAACACAACCAATGCTCTACATTCTGTATTGATACACACACACACACACACACACACACACACACACGTGAACTCGAAGAAATATCAACACATGAGAGTGGTTATCTCTGATTAGGGGAAGGAGAATAGGACTGGAGAGGTGTTTAAAAGGGACTTCAACTTTATCCACAATAATTTATTTCTTTATGTAAAAAATGATAATACAAGTATGCTAAAATGTTCTCATTTGTTAATTCTGGATACAAGAAGAAAAAAATATTTTATTATTGTGTATTTTTCTCTATTCAAAGGGATTGCACATTCCTCTCAAACAAAACAAGAAGACACTTTACTACATTGCCTTTATTTTTCTCATTTCAACACATACCCGTGTAAGGTCTATTGCTCATTACTGCACATAGGCCATTATTTGGGAGACAGGAGACTATTCATCTATCAGCTGTCTCTCATAGGCTTACTATGAACCATGAATTATGTTTATGCTTCCTCTAATTCTGTGATTCTGTGGTTCTATGATTCTTAATTTTTCACAGATACTCCTTTTACAGTTTCTTTCAGGTCTTACAGTTCCTCTGAAACTGGAAACAAGTTCTCCAGGGAAACCTTGATCATCTGTGATCATCTGTGCTTATTATCCTTCGGGGCTAAGAGAACATCTCATTTATGTCACGAGAGTCATGACATACAAATGTTGCACACCTCATAACCAAATATCTTTCAGTCCTCCTGTGAAGTCAATTATAATCATGGCTTCAAATGAGATGAAAAGATTTCTAGTGGTAGGGATGTTTGAAATGGAGCTACAGTGGGGTGTGAATTTGATTCTACTACTTCAGAGGGATTAAAATCTATCTTAGAACTTTCTACAGTTTATTTTTTCTTGACTTGGGTCTTTCTTGATGTCTTCTTGAAAGTATGTTTATGCAAGACAAAGTACCTGATCAATGATATGTATCCAGTAGTTGTTTTTCTGATGAATGAATGAATGAGAACCTATATTGCTTCCTGTTTTTGTCTATTTCATACGTTTTGTTTAATCCTGCATATAGTTTCCTACCTGGGGGTCTGAGGATGTCTAGTGGGTAAAGGTAGTATTAATAACATGTCATTGAATGATCTTCAAAATTTCGGAAATGTTCAAGAAATCTTAAAATGTTCAACTTATTTGCTCTTGGCTAGAATTATATCAACATAATTTGTTAATAGTAGCTCTCCTATGCTGATCAGATTCCCTAATTAGTAACTATTTAAGCCCTTGATTTATTTTATTTTTTTTTAATTTTTAATTCAATTTATTTTTTTTGAGATGGGAGTCTTGCTCTGTCGCCCAGGCTGGAGTGCAGTGGCGTGATCTCGGCTCACTGCAAACTCCACCTCCCAGGTTCACGCCATTCTCCTGCCTCAACCTCCTGAGTAGCTGGGACTACAGGCCCGCCAACAAGCCCGGCTAATTTTTTGTATTTTTAGTAGAGATGGGGTTTCACCACGTTAGCCAGGATGGTCTCGATCTCCTGACGTTGTGATCCTCCTGCCTCGGCGTCCCAAAGTGCTGGGATTACAGGTGTGAGCCAGCGTGCCAGGCCGATTTATTTTTTTTTAAAAGAGTAAAAATTATTGCTTAACAAATACATTTTTGTGACTAACATTTCCAGAATATGGACTTTATGGGGGTAAACAAAAAAAGAAGGATTTGGCATAAAAAATGTGTTGGGAACTATAAAAATTTGAATATAATAAGTGCTAAAACTAGTCTGATGAGACTTCAGGAACAGCCAAAATACACCCTATTGGAGAGGTAATGACAAGGACATATTAGTTTAAACTTCTTTTTGCCTGATCTTGGCTTTAGACTGATGATACATCCTTCTAAGAATGAAGTATTTCATTTAAAGTGAAAAGATTGCCTAGGTGCAGTAGCTCACACCTGTAATCCCAGCACTTTGGAAGGCAGAAACCGGCTGATAGGTTGAGCCTAGGAGCTCAAAGTTGCTCAGTCCCGGCAACAGAATGAAACCCTGTCTCAAAAAAAACAAACGAAAAAGGAAAAAAAAAAATTAAGTCAATTTTAGATTGAAGAAATCTCTTGGAAGCTAAGTTCAGTCTTAGAAGAAAGTGACGATCACAAGTGTGATCTGGGCTAATAATTAAATTTTAAAATATGTGATAAGGCAAAATGTGTGTTGATAACAGGACAAAGAGAGGACAGTCATTTCCCAAACTCATATGAGTAATTCTCAGTTTCATAGTTCTTCCATTTGTTTTGAATTGGTACCATTTACAAAGGCAAAGGAGAGATGCTGAGCCGGTTCCAGATATTACCTCTCCCAATTGAACAAAAGCTCTCGATCTTCTCTTTGTATCGTAGAGTCATTTCAGGACAGTTTTCCCGAGTGAAAGAATGTTTGTTTGTTTTCTTCCTAAGTGTCTGGTATACTTTTCTATACAAGTAAAACAAATAAAAAACTTTACAAAAAAGTTATTTCTATATGACTTCAAATTTTTCTTTTAGATTTTGGGTTGGCTTTGAGATTTCTAGGTTTATCATTCTTCAAAATGGAAAATGTTGCTTATTTCTTTACATTTCATAAAGTATGCTTTGTGTAAACAACTTCTCGTTAACCCTCAACCTACAGATAAGGTCACAACTCCTTGGCATGGCTTTTTTTTTTTTTTGAAATGGAGTCTCGCTCTGTCACCCAGGCTGGAGAACAGTGTGCGATCTTGGCTCACTGCAACCCCTACCTCCTGGGTTCAAGCGATTCTCCTGCCTCAGCCTCCCAAGTAGCTGGGATTACAGATGTGCACCACCACACCCAGCTAATTTTTGTATTTTTAGTAGAGACGGGGTTTCATGATGTTGGCCAGACTGGTCCCAAACTCCTGACCTCAGGTGGTGTGCCCGCCTTGGCCTCCCAAGGTGCTGGGATTACAGGTGTGAGCCACCGTGTCCGGCCTAGCATGACATTTTGATCACTGAGTTCCACAAACATTTGCATGTAATAGCAACTTACAGCTTAAAAGAGACTTTGCGTATAATCTCATCTCAATTCACTGATCTCCAAACATGCTTTTAAAAATACCTCTAAACACTAGTAAATGTCTCCTTCTCTTTTTCTTTTTTTTTTTTTTTTTTTTTTTTTGAGACAAGATCTTGCTGTGTTGTCCAAGGTAGAGTACAGTGGTGCAATCATAGCTCACTGTAACCTTGAACTCCTAGGCTCAAGCAGTCCTCCTGCTTAGCCTCTCAAATAGCTGGGAATACAGGCATGCACCACCACACCTGGCTGATTTTTAAATTTTTTTGTAGATGGAGATCTTGCCATGTTTCCCAGGCTGGTCTAGAACTCCAGGCCTCACGCAATCCTCCCGCGTCCTTCCAAGGTGATGGGATTACAGGCTTGAGCCACTGGGCCCCGCGTTCTCATTCTTCAGAACCCTACTGCAACATCATGCCCCCTGGGAAGTTTTCCCACCTGCTCTGTTGTTCTGCACTTAGTGTTCCCTTCTGTCTATTGTATTTTTAATATACTTCAACTCATTTCTTCTTGCTGTATATTAAAAATTCTTATATAAAATAGTTCCTATATTAAAATATTTTTATGAATGGCTTCTTCATAAGATGGTGAGGGGAGGATGTTATTTCTATGTATTTATGGATGATAACATAGAGGTGAGGGAAATGGGTAAAAACAGAGTCAATAAGTTTTAGAGCATGAGTTTGAAACTAGATGTTCCATCTCAAAGTCAGGCTCTGTCTACTCCACAGCATGGCTTTTCATAAGATGCTATGATGCTTGGTTTCACGAAATATTACAAGTATCGCTATTGTTTTGGTTTGTTAAAACAATGGTAATGATAATTTTTGAGACAAATTCTAATGGCCTGCATGTATTAAGTATTTATAGTATGCTAGGCAATGTTCTGAAAGAGTTAGATGTATTAATTCACTTAATCCTCATAACAACCCTATAAGAGAAGTACTATTATTATTATTATTTGAGACTGAATCTCACACTGTTGCCTGGGCTTGAGTGCAATGGCGTGATCTCTGCTCACTGCAACCTCCGCCTCCTGGGTTCAAGCGATTCTCCTGCCTCTGCCTCCTGAGTAGCTGGAATTACAGGTGTATGCTACCACGCCCTGCAAATTTTTTCTATTTTTTGTATATATATATTTTTTTTAGTAGAGGCGGGGTTTCACTATGTTGGCCAGGCTTGTCTCGAACTCCTGACATCATGATCTGCCCGCCTCGGCCTCCCAAAGTGCTGGGATTACAGGCATGAGCCACTGCACCTGGCCGATAATTTACTATTATTATTCTTATTTTACAGGTATGGAAATTGAGGTGTCGAATGATTAAATAACTTGCTTGCCACCCAGATAAAAGTGGCAGAGCTGATTCCTAACCAGACGAATTGGTTTAGGAACCCACATTCTTAATAAAAGTAGACTTAAATACTGATGTTTTCTTTCCTAAATAGAACTTTGTACACGATCACTGTCTACGAGACTGATTACAATTTTTGTTGTTGTTGTTGTGTGTGTGTGTTTTTTTTTAGAGAGGCAGAGTCTCACTCTGTTGCCCAGGCTGGCCTGCAGTAGTACAGTCATAAGTCGCTGCAGCCTTCAACTCCAGGGCTCAAGAGATCCTCCTACCTCAGCCTCCTGAGTAGGTGGGACGACAGGTCCATGCCCAGCTGTTTCAAATTGTTTTTTGTGGAGATGGGGACTCACTATGCTGCCCAGGCTGGTCCGGAACTCCTGGCCTCAAGTGATCCTCCAGACTTGGCCCCCCAAACTATTGGGGATACAAGCATGACCCACTGCACCCAGCCCTTCAGTTTTGATTTTACGCATATTATAGAACCTAGGTTTGGCTCTGAATCTCCATTTATAGCCTCAACTATAATTACAGAACACACACAAAAAATGGAGTTGATTCAGATTACTGAGTACAGTGGGTTTCATGTGGATAGTTATTAGGAAACAAGCAGGGCTTTTATTTTTGGACTTTTGTCTCCTTCTTCCCTTCAAATAATAAAACAAATTGGCAATTGAGAAAACAAGGAAACAAGGAAAAAAAAAAAGCCAACAGCCTGTTTCTGATTTGTTTGGGACTGGATCCAAGGTTTTGGGAATCTTTCAGAGTTGCATTTTCAGTGTTCAAAGCAGGAATTCACTTCTGAAATAACTTAGAGACGAAAAAATGAAATTGTCAAATATATTGTGTCAAACTGCTATTTTAATGATTTTTTGCATGTAATAATAAAAATTAAAATATTCATTACAGTTCACATTGTAAAGATCACTTTGAGTGTAAAACCTACATTAAAAAAGCATAAGAACAAATACAAATATTTTATACCTTCTGATAATACATTATAAGAATTGAGATTATTGAGAAAATAAATTTAAGAAGGCAGTATTGAACAACTACAAGAACTATAAAATATAGCTGAGAATTTGTTAGAGAAGAAAAGCTCTTAATTTCTAATATATTAGAATAAAAGCCACAGTCACCATTCAAGTTATTTAAGTACTATTGCAATTTAATGATTCAGGAGAAAAAGCAATTTGTGTCACTGAGATTTTTGGAGTCTCCAAAATCTCCAAATGTAGATTCTGGACATTCTTCTCTGTGGTTTTATAATACTGAACTCCTCATCTTTGATAGTTTCTCTAAAACGCATCATGAATGTGTACAAAATGTATTTTTAAATTTTTATTTTTTTCAAACATTTATTTATTTTATGTTCAGGGGTATATACATGCCGGTTTGTTATATAGGTAAACTCATGTCACAGGGTTTGTCATACAGATTATTTTCTCCCCCAGGTACTAAGTCTAGTACCCAAAAGGTTTTTTTTTTTTTTTTTTTTTTGGTTGGTTCGTTGTTTGTTTTGAGACAGAGTCTTGCTCTGTCACCAGGCTGGAGTGCAGTGGTGCGATCTCGGCTCACTGCAACCTCTGCCTCCCTGGTTCAAGTGATTCTCCTGCCTCAGCCTACCAAGTAGCTGGGACTACCAGTGCGCGCCAAAACGCCCAGTTAATTTTTGTATTTTTAATAGAGAAGGGGTTTCACCATGTCGGCCAGGATGGTCTTGATCTCTTGACCTCGTGATCCACCGGCCTCGGCCTCCTAAAGTGCTGGGATTACAGGTGTGAGCCGCTGTGCCAGGCCTCAATAGGGTATTTTTAAATTTAAAACGTTTTAATAAGTTTTGTTTTTAATTGACACAATAATTGTACTTATTTACAGGGTACAGTGTGATGTTTTGATACATACGTACATTGTATAATGATTAGATCAGATAATTGACATATCCATCACCTCAAACACTTGCCATTTCTTTGCAATGAGAATGTTATATCAAGTTTGTATTCCTGGATATTTAGGCCAATGAACTGGGTCTTTATTCTCCAGACTTAGTAAAATTGCCGTCTTTCTACCATCTCTGCAGAATTTCTAAGCCTGCCTGTCTTCTTGGCTTCGCTGTGGGCTTTATCTTTTCCCTCCTATTTAATTATTCATTTGATTTCTATTTCACTTCCCACACTGTGACTTTACTTTTATCAAAACTGAAGTTCCCCCCACCTTTAATTTTTTTTTAATTTTTAATTATTTATTTTTGAGATGCGGTCTCACTGTTACCCAGGCTGGAGTGCAGGGGTGCTATTACAGCTCACAGCAAACTTGACTTCCCAGCCCCAGGTGATCCTCCCACCTCTGCCTCCTGAGTAGCTGGGACTACAGGCATGCACCTCTGTGTCTCGCTAATTGTTGTATTTTTTGTAGAGACAGGGTCTCACTATGTTGCCAAGGCTGGTCTTGAACTCCTGGGCCCAAGTAATCCACCCGCCTCAGCCTCCCAAAATGCTAGATTACAGGCATGAGTCACCAAGCTTCCCCCTTGTAACACATCTTATTTCCTTTCTTTATCAAAATTAGCTTGAGATTTCAGCTTTAGTCAGTCTTTCATGAAAACCGAATAGTAGGAAAGTGGGATTCAGTCCTATGCCTCTTCTTCTGAAAACTAACCTTGCACACTTTACCTATCTTTGTCTTGCCTTAAATTTAAGATAGTGTTGACTTCATGGTATCTAGGTTGTGTTCACTTACGTGCTGTTCAATTACTCACTAGTTTCTACATTTTCTATTTTAGGTTGGAAGATGCTGGAGAAAACTCAGCATTAAGTGTCGATAATTACCATGATTTTTTAACAAACGTTTATTTGAATGATTTCTTTTTTCAAACAATACCTGGGCTACTCAGCCAAAATAATGAATAGGGAATTTCAGTGGGAAATTAGTAACAGAAAAGGGAAATAAGACGTAACAGGAAGTGTCTAGATTTCTTCTATGGGTTTTAGAATTCTGTTGGAGATGAGTATTTCTAACCCTGGAAAGTTACCAAAAATGAAATGAAGATTGAATTTCCTATGAATAGGAAGAAGTTGAAGAAAACCTGGAGATTGTGCGCAATCCTGTCTGAACTATGCATCTGGTGACACGTCTGGACAGAAGTGTTTTGATAGACTAGTTTTCCATCCTCTCTTCTTGTCAGTTTTCTTCTACGAATGTCCTCCCCCTCCCTCTGTGGTGTACTCGGTTGTAAACATAGGCTTTTACTTTTTAAGGCAAATATTCCTCAGGATTATTGACAGAAGAGGAAATTCTCTTTAAAATAGCTTTGTGATATGATTCTTGTCTTTTACTTGCAAAAAAACCTTTTGGGAAACAGAACAGAATGGATGGAAAATACCATGATAGGAAAAGAGCTCTCTAGTTTAACCTTAATTTTAGATCTATTCTCTTCCTTGGAAGTGTCATTTATGGTTTTTGCTGACTCATTTCCCTGCCATTGCTATTACCCTGGAGGAGGCACCATGACAAGCCATGCACAGACTTCATAGCATTAGTAACTTCTTGGGTCTTTGATGTGTTTTGTGTCAACAGAATCATTGTAGTACTCACGGTGTGTGTTGTTGGGGTCGGAGGTGACTTTGAAGAAAGTCTTGAAGTTTGGAAGGACAAAAATGCTCAGGGGGAAAAAAGACTGTTCTGTTAAGGAAAATATTACTGTCAAGCCAGAAATATTTCTGAAGTCTTCATTAGGTCTAGTAATCTCCAAGGATTAGGATGACGGGACCCGCGGTTGGATGACCTCTGTTGGATGTGCTAATACATAGAGGCTGAGTGGGCTGGATGGGTGGAAAACAGAGAGACGGAGTGCAAAACCAAACTCTGAAAAGAGCAGCTGTCTTTACAATGCTCATTCACTTTCTGTTACTTGCCGGCCAATGTAATGAGAACCGCTATCATAGGTGAAGGTTAAGTACACTATTTCCCTTAGACTTTAAAGTCCGCTTTAGTATTTTGCTGATGAGTATTAATGAGCAAGGATTAAATTTCAGATTTTAAAAAATCTTTTTATCTAAAAATAATAATAATTACAGATGGAGACAGTTTCAGGGTAATTTCAACTCTTTTACTTCATACACACACACAGTCATAGGTTTTAGAAGCAGTAAAATATTTTATTGAGCTAAAGTCATGGCTATTTCATTTCATTATGAGTAAGATACTTTACAAATAAAATAAATCATTGGCAAATAAAATGCTGTATTTTAATGATCTGAAAACATAACATCTTTTTAAATAGGCACTAGGTATTTTGCAGATTTCACCAATTACTTGTCACACTGTGGCTGGAAATTCTGAACCATTCCATTCATTTATTAACTCAGCCAGAAAACTGTTTTTAAATATTTATGGGAATGCTTGTGGTCAGATTCCTGCATTGCCTTTACATATAACTAAGTGGAAAGAAAGCTTTTCAATCAGTTTCTGGTACAAGCACCTGTCTTACATTTTGCATCATAACTGTAACTATGACACTAATTGGCTTGCTTCTTAACACCTTCTTGATCATACTGCCTGAATTTGGCCAGTCTTGCAACATGGCATTTTGCAATCCCATGTTAAAATGAGGCTATTATAGACCAGATGGCATTATTGGGTGGTCACACTAGGAAAAAAAAAATGCCAAAAAACTACATTGCAAGTTTTCATTTTAGATAGGAAAACAGAGTTCATTTCAGTCTGCAGAACAGACTAATAAATATCATTTGCACCTGTAAGAATAGCTGGACTTACTCTAAGGCAGGGCTTCTGAAAATGGGGTCTGGTACCCCCGGCAATTGTGCAAGATGATCCATTGGAGAAAATATGACTAACTTCTATTTATATCATTTTTTAATTGAAGAATAAATTTAAGCTTTGCAAATATTTAACTTAAGTGGATTAATGCTGATTCCTACTTCATTCCACATGGCATGTGTCACTTATACTCAAAGTCTGTTAAGGGGAGATTGTGGTTCCGCGGCATAAATGAGTTGGCCAAGTCTCTCTCAATCATTCTTTTGCTTTCATCATTTACATAAGGGCGGGGGGCCCAAACTTTTGGTTTCCCTGGGCCACATTGGAAGAAGAAGAATTGTCTTGGGCCAGACATAAAATAGACTAACACTAATGATAGCTGATGAGCTAAAAAAAAAATAGCAAAAAATTCTTCTAATATTTTAAGAAAGCTTGACAAATTTATGTTGGGCTGCATTCAAAGCTGTCTTGGGATGCATGTAGTCCACAGGCCGTGGGTTGGACAAGCTTGATTTAAATGTTTCAAGTCATTTATGGATGAACATAAGTAGACATAAGAGAGTTTAAAGACATATTATCTCATCTGAAAGAAATTTGACTAAAATAATACTAATAAGTCAAGACAAAGTGAAGAGCAAGAGACCATTGACATTTCTCTGAGTCCTATTAGGAACTATTGATGTTTTGACAATCTAATCAGATTTGACAAAATTTCTGCCTCCACCTTCTCCCCCATGGAAGGATCAAGAAGACTATTAAAATATAGATAGCCCCTTACTCTTTTTCAAAGTGAACCTTGACCTAGAGGAAAAATGTGCCTTGAGATGTTAGCTAAGGATAGAGCAAAGTCATCACTGTTAGCAAGACATTTTAAATATATTCTGTGATTTCTCCTGTGATGTTTAGTTATGTAACACCCAATTAATGTTTAATGAAAAACTTCACTGAATAGCCAATGATCTAAAGACTCATTGAGGAAACATGTTCATCTTGCCTTAGTAAAAATGGCTGAAAGAATCCTTGGAAAACAACGTGGTTAGCAGGCTAAAATACATTCCTTTGAATGTATTTCCCAGTAAAAACACAGTCGACATTGCAAAAGATCTGAATAAACAAGTTTTATAACAAATTATGTCATGTAAAAGGTTTGGAATATACAGTAAATGTAAGCACAGATGTTTCTAATACGTCTCGGCTTATAGTATTTGCTAAATTTTGTTTCAGTGATGGAATATGAACGATTACCTTCCCCCTTTCATTATGAGCCACTAAAGGGAAGAAAGACCAATGAGGTGATAGTCTCAACAGTAAATGGCTCGTTTAACAAATATAATATTTCATCTAAAAACTATAAATGTAACCACAGAAAGAATTCTAGGCTAAGTTTATGGAGATAACATTGCAAAATTAATAAACGAGCTATTTTAGCAAAAAGTTAAAGCTAAAAGTGCACAAAATGCTATAGACTGACATTGATATTCTAATGTTTTCATTAAAAAAACCCAAATTAGTAAAAAGTGAGTTCTTTACAATATTTGAAATGAGGTAGGGAGTGGCCACAAACACCATTTGTTACCATACAGAGGTTTGCTGGTTATCTCAGAGCAAAGAACTCGAACAGCACATGACTTACTAATTTTTTTTTTACAAAAATCAAATAACTCAAATTTACTGACATTTCAGTGATGATAAGCAGCTGTCACTATTATGCTACTGAGAATACATTTTTTTAAACATTACATAATTTGTTTCTCCAAGATAAAGATGTCACTTAAACAATGAGTGAGCAAGTAAGTGCTTTATAAAAGAAGTTGTGTTATGTATAAATCATTCTAAAAATATTTTGGAAATGTGTATATTGTTATATGAATTTATTACTGAAAATGATGTGTATTTACTACCTATTAAAACTCATACACAAATTTTAAAAATCTGAATACAGTTTTCCAATCAATTAAAATTTTGACAAATTAATAATTGCACTTGTGGTAATTTCAAATTACGTATTCAAAATATAAAAATGCAATTTCCGATTTGTTTTCAAGACATCAAGGCATATATATTTACTAGTAAAATTTCAGTAGACTCCTTTGGGTTACTGTTAGGCTAGATAAAAATTTTGCATCATGACTTAGTAAAAAAGTTGTATTTTGTCCGTTTGGAGTTACATGTCTTTTTCTACCTTCACGGCTTTTAAAATCAAGTATTAAACTGCAGTTTGAATCGGTGTGCCTCCTTCTTTAGGCTAAGATTTAAAAAGCAACTTCAAGCATATTCTGTCATATTTTTTATCCTAAAAGTTATTCATTATAACATTTATAGAGAAAGAAAGTTTCTTTTGGCCCTATTAAAAAAGAAACTCAACCTTAAAAATAGACATTTTTTCATGGTTGCTTTACACCATATATTAGTGCAGTGTTACATGAACGTTATTTAGAGTAGTGGTTCTCAGTTGGAGTGATCTTTCTCCCTAGGGGACATTTGGCAGTGTCTGGAGAGGTTTTGGCTGTCACACCTGGGGGAGGTACTGCCGACATACAGTTGGTAGAAGCCAGGGGTGCTGCTAACATCCCATGATGTACAGTTCTCCACGACAAAGAATTATCTTGCCCAAAACGTCAATGGTGCCGGGGTTGAGAAACCATGCTTTAGTGATTATGATATACATAGTGTGTACTTGACAGTATTATGTATACCCATTTTAAAACAGTTTGGAGGCCACTGTAAGTTATGACATTTGAGAAGCTGAATTACCAGTTGAGATTCTATTTGGTTCAAAGTGCAAAATGTCTAGTATTTGTTTTAATTCACCATAGTATTTTGATTTAAAATCCATCTTATGTTTAGCTCTGTGAATTTTAAACCATGGGTTGACTAGAAAAGGACTTCTCAGTGAGCAACGTCACATGTATATATCTTTAAGGCTGGCTTCTGTTTTTGTTGTTGGTGTTATTGTTTTTAGGTACTAAACTGTTTAAAACATCAGGATTTCATGAGGTTATATATGTATACTGTCATACAGAATTCAAGAAATTTAATAAAATATGGACATGGAAATAAATTGCATGAAGCTTATTCATATCTTATTACCTATCAGTTTCTAGGCAGAGAAGGACTAAATTTAGAAACACAGCCAAAGATTTTTGTTATCAGGCTCCTTGCCTCTATTTTGGCCAGTCTTCCCAAGAACATTATGAAGAGAAAACAATTTTTATTATTTATCACTTTGTTTACCAGTAGAAACTATTCTATTTTACAAAAATGTAGCAAATTCACAATATCAGTTTTAAAGGCTGCTACAATTAGTCTTCCTTTCTTTGGTGCAGGGTTTTTAGATTAAAAGTTCTTCTTATGTGATATTTTATCGAACTTCTGCTTCCTTTCTGCAATGCCCAGAATTTCAGATCAAGTATGAGTCATGACTTTGGAACCGTGGCTTAAGGATTAAGTTATAAAATTAAAAAGATAATAGACATTTCAATGCAGGACAAGAAACACACACCACACACACACATACACACAGACACACACACACACACACACACACACACACTTCTAATAAATGCTAAGAAGTAAGATAGTTTTACAAGCAATTCCTTAAAACTTGGAAGAGCTGATGATGTGGGAAAAATAAAAAATGTTTCTATCAGAAGAGAAAAATGAATGGCCTAACATCTCTTATTTGCAGCTTAAGTTGTGAAAATATCATTTATAATGTGTGCATTAATTGTATTCCACACATGACTATTTTAGTTGATGTTATAGAATGTGACAAATGTTAAAGAAGATGAAAATAAAACGAATGTTAAGAATAACTTGATGACTTTGATTTTTCTAACTAGATTCTTTCTAAAGCCCGTAGATGCCAGAAAAACAAATACTTCCTTGATAAAAAGATCTTTGGACTGGGGAACTGCTTTTTCACCAAGGCTACAGGAACTGCTAATAATTCCTGTAGCTATTTGATATATATTGATGTATGATGTTTGTCTGTGACTATCAACCTATGTATCCTTATAAATCTATAGATAGATATCTATAAAGACTCATCTCAAGATTTTTGAGAGTCCATGCAATCTTAATTTCCAGTATTGCATATAATTTTCACTATATAAACATAATTCCTTTGGAGAGTTAGTGCAAGTAGAGAACAATAACATCATGATGAGATACGGACATAGGAAAAGTAGCTAAGCTCACTCACTAGTGGATGACTTCTGCTCATCAGTCTGTCTGACAAAATTAAAGCTTATTTGAGATTATAGAATATGGTATTGCTCATAAATAGAAAAAATAGCAAAACCCTGTGATACAGTTTGGATGTTGTCCCTGCCCGAATCTCATGTTGAAATGTAATCCTCAGTGTTGGAGGTGGGACCTGGTGGAGTGTTCGGGTCTTGGGGGTGGATTTCTCATGAATGGTTTAGCACCATCCTCTTGGTACTGTCCTCGTGATAGTCAATGAGTTCTTATGAGATCTGGCCGATTACAGGTGTGTGGCACCTCCCTCCTGTCTCTCTTGCTGCTACTTCCACCATGTGAGATGCCTGCTCCCCCTTCACCTTCTGCCATGATTGTAAGCTTACTGAGGCCTTCTCAGAAGCAGATGCTGGTGTTATGCTTTCTGTACAGCCTGCAGAACCAGGAGCCAATTAAACCTCTTTTTTTGCAAATTACCCAGTTTCAGGTATTTCTTTATAGCAATGCAAGGACAGCCTAACACACCCTGTAAATGTTAAATATGAGAATGGCAAGTCTAGGCAATAAGCTAAAATCAGTTATGACCTTTGAAATATTAAGATTATGGTTGCTAAATTTTGGTGTTTGGTGTGGGGTAGGGAGGTAGAGAGGAAATGTTTTTTTCTTACTCTCAAATTTCTATAGTTAAATGCTACTGGAGCAAGGATAGAAAAAATTGGAAACTTGTTGCCCATGTGTCAATACTGATTTCTTGCTTTTATTTTATTTTTTTAAAATAGCTAACAAAACACAGCATAGTCCAAGAGTTCTATCCTGTTCTTTTGTGCTTAGCAAATGTGGTTTCCCACCTCCGCTCTCAATTCTGGGTATCTTTAAATACTGTTTTTAGAAGACCAGGATATTTATTAAAGGGAGAAGATCAAAGATCACAGCACTGAATGACATCAACAATGTCATTGTCAACAAACTTTTACTGGAGGCATTGTCATTGTCAATGTCAATGTCAACAAACTTTTATTGGAGATGAAAGTTTAGAAGAAAAAAATCGAAGTATGCTAACCCTGCTAATAGGTGTAAAATTGCATCATAAAGTAAACAGAAGCAATAAGATTTGCTCTTCTATAGAGGTCTATCTTTCAAAAACCTTTTTATTGAAAATTCATTTACTACATTAAATCAATTTTAGAAATACTTTCTCTGACTTTTGGAAAGAAGAAAATTGATATTTTGCTATTGTAACACAGTTGGTCCTCATCGGTTATTTGGTACCTGGTAGTTCAATAGAACCGCTTTAGGTTTTCCACTTTCAGTGACTTGATAGTTAAATACATACTTTGACATCTTTTGAGGAAAATGATTTAGCCCTTATTATCTTCAGAATGAAAACCAAATACAGCATTTGCTATTCTTGCCGCTTTTAAGTCTCTTTCCCTGGTCTGAAGTTCTTCTGCCTTAAATAATCTATTAGTTTTAAATCATTTCATCTGTAGGAATAGAATGAACATTTAAAATGAATAGAGTGTCAGCTTTCTCATTCTTCTAGACTTACAACTACTAAACAAATAAATAATGGGGGTGAGGTAGGAGATGAGCAGGACTTGTTTTCAAGACCCTCCTGATCTAAACAGGATGTGGCAAAGAAACTGCCTCAAACCAGCTAGGACTAGGAATTATCACGTATTTGCTTAAGACATGCCCAACAGTGCCACGACAGTTTATAAATGCCGTGGCAACGACCTGGAAGTTACATTATGTGGTTCTGGGAACTCCTTGCCCCATTTCCCAGGAAGTTTGTGAATAATACGCTTCTTACTTAGCATATAGTTAAAAGTGAGCATAAATATAGCTAGCCATCAATGCACAAGGGCTACTCTGTGCTACTTTGCCTAGGGGTAGCCCTGCTCTGTCTATGGAGCACCGTTTTGCTGTACTCTGTGTGCTACTTTGCCTAGGGGTAGCCCTGCTCTGTCTATGGAACACCGTTTTGCTGTACACTGTTGCTCTAATGAACTTGCTTTCTTTCACTGTCAGCTCACACTTGCATTCTCTCCTGAGTGAAGCCAAAAACCCTCTGAGGCTAAGCCCCAACTTTGGGGTTCACTTGCATCAGCTGGGTGTGGGGAAGACAGAGAAGGAGAGCAATATCTTCTGTAGGGAACTTTTGAGGTAAATATTGGTCTCTTTCTAAAACTCCTTGCAAGCCACTATATCAGTTGTCAACAAATGCTAGTCATGTTTCCTCTGTCTATTAGATACAAAACACAATAACACCTTACCAGGATTTGGTAGGTGAAAATGTCAATTTCTTTTGCCTAGTTCCTTGTAATTGAAATGATTTGTTACAGCATGATAACTATAGAGTAGAAATAAAAACTAGGCTGGAATTGAAAAGAAAACAAACCCCCAAATTGAGGAAGAGTAGAGGCTTTTTTGGAAACATACATGAAATCCTGGCAGGTAAAATAACTGTGTATTGTATATGTCAGCATGCTAGAATGAAATTTTAACACAACTCCTATGTCAAATGTTGACAAACTAAAGCTGGTCAACAACGAGGTTAAATAAATCATAACCAGGACATTAACACCCCATGGAAAAGGCATGCATGAAAGCAGCTGGTACTGTCCCTGATAGACAAAACAATGAACATTGACCCAGTTTCAACAAGTTATGTTATAAATATGTAAACATTCCGTAGAGAATTTCTATGTTAAGAAATTTATGTTATGTTATTAAGTTTATATTACAGAGGCTTCCATTCCTCTTAACAACATACATGGCTTTTTAAAAATATCAGGATGACCAACCAGCCACGATGGCCTTCTCAGCTTCCAGAATTCCCTCTGCCCTGTCTATATTCCTGATCTTCCCCTACACTATGTTAGGTCCATGTGTGCGTACACATTTCAATGGCACACTGCTTTTGTTTTGTTTTGTTTTTGGAACAATCAGGAATTACTCTCTGCTCTGCTAGGTTTCATGAGGACAGGGGTTGCCTCTGCATTTATTGCTATGTCTCTAGTGCTTAGCATAGTGCTTGACATGAGTGAATTCTTATTTGTTCATTTCATAAGACCATCTTTTTCTGCTTGTCCTGGTTTATACGGTTTTGGTATTGCTCTGGGCACTCATTATGCAACATAAAATTGATTTTCAAAATGTTAACTATGATGTGATAGTTTAATGTGAGAAAATAGAAGGAAAAGATGAAATGGGTGACAAATGATTGCCCGTTTTTAATGATGGACTGCACAGTATTATTGACGGTGCTTGTGCTTTCTCGAGTGGCTTTCTTAGAATAGTTCCAAGAACTTCAAACATGCCTTTAATCCTTCAGTTATCTCTGTGATATGTAAAGCATTTTCAATATCACCATATAACAGCTTGGGAGGCAGACAGGTCTGAAAAGCAGAAGTCCAGAAATGTTTTCCGTTTGACTAAATGTTTGTTTCTAGCTTAAGCTTTCACTCTTTTCATTTGATCTCATCCAAATTTGCTTTACTGAAGGGCGCCGTTTAAATTTTTTATTTGTATCACTTTCTATTTGCTATGTATAGATTTTTAAATGGCTTAATTTTCTTTTGGAATCCTCACATTTCAAAAAGAGATGTTGAATGTAGTGGGAGTTGAAGACAGATATTAATGGACTGCTCTTCATTTTAGTCTCGCTCAAAGATACAGTGAAAGACTTAATAAAAATTCTGCATGATAATATCAACATTAAATATACACAGATAAGGAATTTATAGGCTCTGAGAAAACAGAATTTTCTTCAGACATTTTTGGCTGTATGTAGCTCAGGAAAGCAAAATGACTACACAGACGTGTACATATACCTGGGCCCACTGTATAGAGGTGCACAGTTGTGCATTATACACCTCTGTGGGCACTATTGTCACCTATAATACACTTTATATCTTTGGAATATATAGAAATAACAACAGAAGCCTCTATATTTCTACATACAGATTAAAGAATAATGTCTTCCCAAGTTAATCAGGACTCATCAGAGTTTCAGAGAACCCATAAATTACAGAATCTTGAAAAGATGTTAGAAAATAATTGGTTTTAAATCCAAAGATATACCATTTGAATATATATGCTACTTTAAAAAACACTAATGAGTTGGCTTTTTGCGTGAATTAAATATGAAACTTGAGAGGCTTTCATTTCCGGCGAAAGAAACCACATAGCAGCTTCCTTTTCCCTGTTTGATGCCTCTTCAATAATGCAGTCTCATCTTTTATGTATCTTAGCCATGTCTGCTGTATGGACCCAACTGTACAATAAAATTTCAAACCAATGCTTAATGAGAATTTGGTAACTTGATGCGTTTCATAAGTGTTTATGTTATGTTTGTTTCCGTTTTTTTTTTTTTGGAGACAGGGTCTCCCTCTGTTGCCCAGCCTGGAGTGCAGTGGCGTGATCTCAGTTCACTGCAACCTCTGCCTTCCGAGTTAAAGCGATTCTCATGCCTCAGCCTCCTGAATAGCTGGGATTACAGGCGACTCCCACCATGCCTGGCTAATTTTTGTATGTTTAGTAGAGATGGGGTTTCTCCATGTTGGCCAGGCCGCTCTCGAACTCCTGATCTCAAGTGATCCGTCCACTTCAGCCTCCCAAAGTGTTGGGTTTACAGGTGTGAGCCACTGGGCCTGGCTGTTTATTTGTTTTCTTTATAAGAAGATATATTCTGAGTACAATATCCCAGGGCTTCTCTTTCTCTTCTAAGTGAAGATTTCAAGTGTGGTACACAACAAATTGCAAGTTGATGCAGAAAGTGAGCAGACATTATGGATGGCTAGGAAATCCTCAGAATGGTTAAAGAGAGTGGAACGTATGCAAAGGAAGTTTCTTCTAACCAGGGAGGGCATCCGTAAATGACCAATTTAGCATCCTTACATTGTTTCCCGGGTTCTTTAGGAAAGTTTCCCTTTTAGCTTTCGGGACCCTGTTGACAGGCTTTGGAGCCCACTCTCCTATTTGCTTGGTCTGAAGGACCTTGCAGCTTTGCACTGTCAAACATGACCTGTGGTCTGTGCTGACTGTTGGTATCTCAGGTTTCTCTTATCATTGGTGAAACTGGCATATTGTCACATCTTACTGAAGAGCTGTCCCCCGGCCCCAACCCCACCTTTTTTTTTTTTTTTTTGTGGCTGCCCGAGGAAATTGGAGTGCAGTGTTCTGCCAGGCACACACCGGCCTAGGTGATGTTTTCTTCTCCAGCAACATGGAAAAGCCTCTTCTGGGGAAAGGTGTAAGGAGACAAACCAATTGCCACTTCCGAGTTGGAAAAATTGGATCCCTTTGTGCTCTTATCTTCATCCACTTCCAACTTTACTGATTTTACCGCTGCTGGGTTCCAGGGGAGGTAAAAAGGAGAGGAGAAAATGATTGATTTGAGTGCTGGTGGCAATCAATGAGTGGCAATAGATGGGTCTCATGACAGGGCTTTTGTAAGCGCCTTGCTCCATGACTGGGAATAAGATATTGTCAAACTCAGCACCACAAAATGCACACAGTGCCCATTTAACCACGTAACCATCCAGGAGGAGTACACACACAATATGTGCCTCTTATTAATTCATTTGTTCATTTATTCATTCGGCAAATAATTATAGAGGCTACCATGTGCTGGGCAGTGTTCTAAGCAAAGGATTATAACCATGAACAAAACAGCCCCAAATCCCTGCCCTTTGGAAGCTTACATGCTAACGGAGCCTACTTTCTACATTCTCTATATCCTTACGATAGAGTAAAACTATTAGATCATTTCCCAAACGTCTTACAAAAAAATAATTTTAACAAAAAAAATTAATAAAAGTAGTTATCTGCCTAGGTACCAGGCTGAAAGACTCTGAATTTAAATATTAAATGTGAAGGCTGGGCACAGTGGCTCACGCCTGTAATCCCAACATTTTGGGAGGCCGAGGTGCGTGGATCACTTGTGGTCAGGAGTTTGAGACCAGCCTGGCCAACATGGTGAAACCCCATCTCTACTAAAAATACAAAAATTAGCTGGGCGTGGTGGGGCACGTCTATAGTCACAGCTACTTGGGAGGCTGAGGCAGCAGGATCACTTGAGCCCAGAAGGCAGAAGTTTCAGTTAGCCAAGATCACGCCACTGCACTCCAGCTTGGGTGACAGAGAAGACCCTATCTCAAAAAACAAAAACAAATATTAAATGTGAAAAAAATTCAAACAAAGAGCTAGAAAGTACATCCTACTAGGGAAGCAAACTTTAAAACATACTACTATTGTAGAACTATTGAAGGTGAGACATATTCAGGGAAACTTCATAATCCATATTTTCTTAAGATTCTGTGTTGATTATTTATAAAATATTAAACACCCAGTCTTAGAAACCACATATATTTTTCACTCGTAATCTTTCGCATTAGATAGGACTAGTGCGCAAGCCCGTGGAGTAATCTACTGATTTTTCTGTCTACCTCTACAAAAGGCTACAACTCGTCTCCCCAGTGTGCCCTGCTGGGAGTGGCTGCTCGAATCCATTTAGTGCCCACCAGATCCCTCTTACCCACTCATGGTGTTTCCCCAGAAAAGTTTCCTAGGTGATTTTTCTAACTCCATTCTCTCGCAGTTCCCATCTTTCCTACACATTGCATCAAAGTGAACCTTCCGAAGAGTCACTGTCCTCTTATTGCTGTCCTGTTCCAGATGGTCTCATCAGACCCAGTTTCCTCTCCTTGCCAGCCTTCCACACTCTGGCACCAACTCAGTTTAGCAACAAACACAACAATAAAGTCAACAATAATACTTTGTATTTTCAGTGATGAATTATTTTACACCAAAGGTCTCATTTGATACTCAAAACTTAGAAAGAGTCAAAGTTGTTACAATTATTTTCATTTGACAGAGGACTATATTGAAGTTGAGAAAACTCACATGATTTGTTCAAAGCCACCCAGCTGCCAGGTAGAAGGATCAGGTTTAAAATCCAGTTCTTCTGAGTTGCAGATCACCTCTCTAGTCACTGCTTCCTTTCATGACACACTCTACTCCAAGGGGCTCAAGTCCATTTCTAGTTCCACTCCTTGCCACACTCCTCCCCAACTGGCAGCACTCTTATTGCCCATTTTACCCCATCCCTCTACCCAGCAGAACGTGCCAAGACTTCATAGTCTGCCTAAGGGTCCTTTCCTTCGTGTCATTTCCCCTGAGAGCTCCAGCATGCAATCACCTCCTCTTTCTCTGAAATACTTCCCTTAGCAATGGTTTAGCCCAGGGTTTCTCAACCTCAGGACTATGTACAGTTTGTGTCAACTGATTCTTTGTTGTGGGGGTCTGTCCTGTGCATTATAGGACATTTAGTGGCATCCCTGGGCCTCTATCTAGTAGACACTAGTAGTACCCCCAGCTGTGATAATCAAAAATATCTCTAGACATTGCCAAATGTTCCATGGGAAACCAAACCAAATTACCTCTGGTTTTGAACCACTGGCTTAACCTGTAATTGTTCTCTAATTGGGTGATGTGGGACAGGTGTGCCTCCCCTGAAACTTGAGGCTGTGGGCAGCATGTTTGTCTTTTGCTTGTGTCCTTGAAGGTGTTCTGTGCACAATAAAGAACTGAATATAGGTTGTGAATCTAAGCCCCACTTCCTAGTTTCAAATTGGAGCCAGCAATCACATCTTAATACTCCTGGTTAATTTTGAGTTGTACAGTACAGTAAATAAAAACCTAAGTTCTAAAATTTAAAGAAATGGATATAAACATCAGTTCTCTTACTATTTGTATAGCTGTGAGATGCTTGCTTTTCCATTTGTCTATGCCAGTGTTATCCAATAGAAATATAATACAAGACACATTAAAAGAGTAAAAAGAACCAAATCACGTTTGTGACTTTATTACTTAATCTAATGTATAAAATATCATTTTACAACGTTATTAATATCAACAATTCATGAAGGATGTGTGTGGCATTCTTCTCTTTGTACTAAGTTGTGCATTTCCTCTTATAACATGTCTCACTAGAATGATCTGCATCTGAGCCACTCAATAGCCATGTTATGTCTAATGGTTACTAAATGCATTGGCTTCCCCCATTAGGCTGTGAACATTTTGAGGGAAGAGACTCTGTCATATTCATTTATAATTAAAAACAACTGGCTGGCATGGTGGCTCACGCCTGAAATCCCAGCACTTTGGGAGGCTGAGGAGGGCGGATTATGAGGTCAGGAGATCGAGACCATCCTGGCTAACATGGTGAAACTCTGTCTCTACTAAAAATACAAAAAAAAAATTAGCCGGGCGTGGTGGTGGGCACCTGTAGTCCCAGCTACTTGGGAGGCTGAGGCAGGAGAATTGCTTGAACCTGGGAGGCAGAGATTGCGGTGAGCCGAGATCACGCCACTGCACGCCGGCCTGAGTGACAGAGTGAGACTCCATTTCAAAAAAAAAACAACAACAAAAAAAAACCAACCAACTAAAAGTTGTTCTTTAAATAAAATACTCTGATTTTCTTGGGTCAAGGGCTTGCGTCCTCTTTGATTCCTTTTTGCTCACTCTGGGAACCATTTTAGCCCTTACATAAAATACCAGAAACATGACAGAAGCCAGTCCCCTCCCTTGAATGGAGTCCTCTCTACTTGTAGAAATAAGACATACATGTATCAAATCACAACAAAAAGCAATATATAATAATTAACTAAAATGCTATCCACTAGAAAGTTTCAAAATCAATGGGTGATGGAAAGAACAGTCTCTTCAACAAATGGTGCTGGGACAACTGACTAGCCACATGCAAATTAATAAACTAGGATCCTTACCTTACACCGTATACAAAAATTAACTAAAAATGGATTGAAGGCCTATGTTTAAGAGCTAAAACTATAAAACTCCTAGAAGAAAGCATAGATGAAAATGTCCATGATACTGAATTTGGCAATGCTGTCTTAGATATGACACCAAAAGCATGAACAACAAAAGAAGGATAAGCTGGACTTCATCAAAATTAAAGGCTTTTGTGCGTCAAAGGAAACTGTTGATAAAGAGACAACCCAAATAATAAGAGAAAAAATTTACAAATCAGTAGACATTTTCCAAAGATGATAATGCCTAACATACATGAAAAGATGCTCAGGGTTACTAGCCATTAGGGAATTGCAAATCAAAACTACAGTGATGTAATGCTTCACACACACTAGGACAGCTATCATAATTTGAGAAAAGGAAAATCACAAGTATTGGTGAGGAGGTAGAGAAACTGGTTCACGCATTGCTAATGGGAATGTAAAAATGATGAAGTCTTTTGAAATAGTTTGGCAGTTTCTTAATAAGTTAAATATATAATTATCATATGACCCACCAATTCTATTCATGTTTATATATTTTATATATAATATAAATATATATCATAATTATATTCATAATTATATGAATATAACTATATATGAATATAATTATATAATTATATATGAATATAATTATATAATTATATATGAATATATATAATTACATACGAATATATAATTATATAATTACGTACGAATATGATTATATAATTATATACGTATATAATTATATACGTATATAACTATATAATTATATACGAATATAATTATATAATTATATACGTATATAATTATGTGAATATAATTATATACGAATATAATTACGTGAATATAATTATATAATTATATGTGAATGTAATTATATAATTATATGTGAATATAATTATATAATTATATGTGAATATAATTATATAATTATATGAATATAACTATATAATTATATGAATATAACTATATAAGAATATAATTATATAATTATAATATGAATATAATTATATAATGATATTCTTGAATATGAATATAACTATATAATTATAATATGAATATAATTATATAGTTATATTCTTAAATATGAATAGTTATATTCATATAATTATAATTATATAAATCATATAGTTATATAATTCATATACTTATATAATTATATTTCATATAATTATACTTATATAATTCATATAATTATACTTATATAATTATAATTTATAAAATATATAAACAGGAATAGAATTGCTGGGTCATATGATAATTATATATTTAACTTACTAAGAAACTGCCAAATTATCTTAAATATATATACATTTATATTTATACATCTAAATTCTGACTCAAATTCAAATTTCCTTCGTGCTCAGAAGCCCACCTTCTTCAAAAAAGCCTTCACTAATTCCTTGGAGATATTTTTGGAGATATCTATATATCTATATCTATATCTCCAAGAATTGTATTGAAAAAATAAAATATGGGTCTTCAAACAAAAACTTGTATAAGAATGTTCATTGCAGCACTATTTATAGCAACCAAAAGTGGAAGCATTCTGAATCGTTATTAATGGGTGGATAAATTAAATGAGGTATGTCCATCCAATGGATTATTATTCAGCTGTAAAAAGGAATGAAGTACTGATACATGCTACACACATGGATGAATTGAGACCATTATAGCAAGTAAAAACAATGCGACACAGAAGGCTACATACTGTCTTAATTCCACTACATGAACTATCGAGAATAGATAAATCCGTAGACACAGAAAGCAGATTAGTGGTTTCTAGGGCCTGGGAAGAGGAGGGGTTGGCGGGAGTGACTGCTCAATGGGTACAGGGGTTTCCTTCTGGGGCGATTAAAATGTTCTGGAAGTAGATAATGGTGATGGTTGTACAACATTGTAAATATACAAAATGCCCTTGGATTGTACATTTTAAAATGATTAAAATGGTGAATTTTATGCTATGTATATTTTACCACAATAACATTGAGTCATTTTGGTCTCTGGGAAGGCAAGGGAAATTGTGAAGCCTTTTTTGAAGAAGGTGGGCTTCTGAGAACAAAGGAAATTTGAATTTGAATCCGAATTTGAATTTGCAGCAAAGGATAAAGGTGCCCCACGTAAAGGTAAAGATAGAAACTTGAGCAGCCTGGCTTGTGTAACAAGTGGGGATCAGGTGGAATTGTTGAGGAATGTCTCTTTAGAGTCTACAAATTTGATCGAAGTAAGGATTAATTTAAAGCACAAAATATATTTTCAGCAGAGACCAAATGTTCCCCAACTATTAAATTTAACTATCAATAAGTAAACACATCAAGTAGAACATTATATTCTTGATATTATTATTAAATACTATTTTCCTGTGCCTTTAAGAAAAGAAGCAGACACTCCTTGGGATCACTCACAGCTCAATTTTTATGGCATTTGTTTTACAAATACTGCGTTACTGTGGAGGAAAGAAGTGGGGACATGCACAGCATATTTATTTTTTCTATATCCAAAGTAAATCCATACATCATTACTTTAGGAACTAAATATGTATAATTTGCCTTGGATTTATTACAGCATCAAAGTGCAACTGGAAATATACGGAGTTTGAAATTAGAATTGTCAACTGTTCACATGGAGATCAATAGCCTTGGAAAGGGTGACTGTGGGCCCTGCCAGGCAAGCTCAGTGACAGCCTCACAGCCAGTCAAGAATGTCAGCAAGACAGGCTGTGGGCAGAGTGATGAAATGCAGCCCCACGTATGAGGGTGTTAGGTGATCACATTTTAAATTTAATGGTGTAGGCTTCTGCCAAGGGGGTACTAGAGGTTACTCCAGTGCACAATAAAATAAAGGGAATATCTTTTGAGTCTTCAGTTTTTAGCCACTTTCAACTCATTGGGTTTTCTCAGCCTTAAACTAAGGTCATTAGCTTTCACAAGTTCTCCCTACAAACAAAACAAATGCTGGGTGTCACCACCGCATTCTTTCCATGGGGGATGTTAGACACCACTGACCCGGATGATTACGCAGACAGCACACCCAAATAGAGACATCTAGATTGGGAAGAGCCCTCAAAAGCTGGCTGACAACCAGGATCCCTGCTCACGGGCCTATTTTACTCAACAGGAAAAATTGCTTCCAAAGGTTTTCTTTTCTTTTTTTTTTTTTTGTTTTGAGACGGAGCCTTGCTCTGTCACCCAGGCTGGAGTGCAGTGGTGCAATCTCAGCTCACTGCACCTTCCAACTCCTGGGTTCAAGCTATTCTCCTGTCTCAGCCTCCTGAGTAGCTGGGACTACAGGCATGCACCACCACGCCCAGCTAACTTTTGTATTTTTAGTAGAGATGAGGTTTCACCATGTTGACCAGGCTGATCTTGAACCCCTGACCTCAAGTGATCTGCCCTCCTTGGCCTCCCAAAGTGCTGGGATTACGGGTGTGAGCCACCATGCCTGGCCCCAAAGATTTTGTGTGTGTGTGTGTGTATATGTGTGTGTATATGTGTGTGTGTGTGTATATATATATATATATATGATAAACCATTATATATAATATTAATATATTAATATAAAACACATCAATATATTAATATAAAATACATATATTATAAAATACATCAAAATATTAATATAAAATATATTAATATATTAATAAAATATATTAATACATTAATATATAATTATATATTAAAATATATATTAGTATATAAAAAGTTATATATAATATATAAATTATCTATATTTTATATAACATATATAATTAATTATATATTATATAATATATAATATTATAAACCATTGCCAAGTGAGAAGTTAAACTTAGCTGTTCTAAGAACAAAGGTTGAAATTCTGACTTCTAAGAAGACCTCTGTATTATTTTCATCAATTCATGTGTATTTGGCAAACTTTGGTGTTCATGTTTCTGTGTAACAGAATATATTACAGAGAGGTATTTCACATCAAGAAATGTAGGGCCACTCCAAAAGCATTATTTATGTAAAATCATTTAATCACTCACTTTTTGCTATCATAAGTGAGAAAAGAGATAGAGAAACCCACATTTTCAATTCCTTCAGATTATGGTAGAAAAATGAAGCCTGTAACAGTGCTGTCAATAGATTATTCTGTATTGGATTTTGAGCTATTCTGCTAAAAGTGTTTGAGACATTACATTCCATGTCAGTATTTCATTGATTATACTGATGTTTTGTTTTATGTAGGTTAGACACATCCTTTAAAAGCTAAGTAACATATTATGTTTTTTTCTTTTGATTTTCCTCTTGGAAACCTTGCTGTGTGATTGCTTCTCTGTCAGAAGTTCTCACATTCTGTTTGCTAAAATTTCAAAACTGTCTCCCAAATCTAAGCATGACCTGGTGATTCCAGCACTCTTGCTTCTCACCACAGTTTTGCTATAGCTTCTGCTGCTTATTTTCATGTGATACTCCATCCTCTTGTCTAGGTACTGAGTCTTTCTTGGTTATAACAAGAGGAGCTCAGGAATGGGATTCAAATACACCTAAATTTTTGAGGGGTGTGTCTGTGGTGGGGGGACAGGGTCTTGCTCTGTCACCCAGGGTGGAGTGCAGCGATGCAATCATAGCTCACTGTAGCCACAACCTCCCAGGCTCAAGCAATCCTCCCACCTCAGCCTCCCCAGTCGCTGGGACTACAGGCACACACCACTATACCCAGCTAGTAATTTTTTTCTTTTTACTTTTTGCAGAGATGGGGTCTTGGTATATTTCCCAGGCTAGTCTTGAACTCCTGGGCTCAAGGGATCCTCCCACCTCAGCCTCCCAAAGTGTTGGGATTATAGGTATGAACCACCATGCTTGGCCAGACCTTTTTTTGAAATTCTAGTTCTATCGGTTATTAGTTATGTGACTTCCTGCAATCTTCTTAAATATTTGTGCCTCAATATTTTCTTTGCCAAACGGAGAGAGTAACACTGTAGGTTTGTTAAATGATAATGTGAAATGCTACATATAAAAATCCTGTCGTAGAGAGCAGTACACATAGTTGGAATTCAATAAAAATTTTTCCTGTGGCCCATCAGACTAGAACAACCCCGCCCCCAGCAACATTTTTCAGTTGGTGGCTAATATCTCGTGCAGCCTCTTCGCACGTAATCTAGCTGTACTTTTCTTTAAAGAATATTAAATGCTCACTTTAAATAATACAATAATCTGTTTGCCTCTGTGAAGCCTTTCTTTTTGTGTTTATTTTGTATCTTTCCCTTGCTCTTACTCTGAAATGGAACAAAGATTAAAAACCCTAGAAGAAAAATTGCCCACCAGTGATATTCATTAAATATGGTAAAAAGAGAACACATAAAACTCACCTTAGTTTAACTTAATGTTCCAAAACAAACTATAAACATTAATTGGTATAAAAACATTCCTTTGTACACATTTTTGTGTAGGAAACTTTAAAAAAGAATTACTTGGTTGGCTAACACCATTGGAATGTCAATTTCCAATAAACAACAAGCACTCCATTTTATTGGTCTGTTAGGAATACATATATATGAAAGTAGAGCATTATAATTTGAACAATTTATTTTAGCTTTAAAGTCTTTAAAACTGGCTTCAACTATTCCTACCTTCATACTGTTTTTAATTTTTCAGTGGTTAATATGTTTCACTAAAAGGTGGAGAGTTTTACATTACACACTAAAACAGAAACAAATCAAAAGATTTCCTAAAAATGTGAAGAATGTCTGAAACCAACTCTAATAAAAAGGCAAATAGAGTATGTGTAAGAAGCTATTTCTTTTTGCAACTATTTTACCTTAAGTTGTCAAGATCGCATTATGTAATTTTTGGAATGATTACAGATTCTGAGGGAGTATGATATCTACACACAAAAACAACTTTTTCCTTTGACAAAAACATCTGGGATCGTTCTTTGTTAAGCAATTAACTGAGATCCAGGTAAACAGAAGAATAACTATTGATTTACCCACATGAGGCTACTGAAATTCTTTTGGGAAAAAAGAATTAAAATTGTTTGCTGTATAAAGCAACCACAAAGCTTTTATAAAAATAGCAATGATATTGGTTGTTTGAGACATGTAAGCTAAAGGGAGTCATTTTCTGGAAGATCCTATTGCTGAGGAGCAGATTTCAGTCCGGTTGGTCAGAAGAACTTGTCCATGATCATCATGAGACCAAACAGCACAGTCTCAACTGTTTATTAAGGGCTTGAGAATCCAAGCAGTATCTGTGGGCTACAAATGCCCGTGTCATTAATTCTGGAAAAATATACATGATTCAACAATGGACAAAGGCAGGCTTAGACAAAGGCACAGGTCTTAACGTGTGTATCACTGTCTGACAGGACTTGGATGTGGGGTAAGGAGCCCTAAGGGGTGGTCAAAGGTTAAAGGTGAAAGGTGAATTCTATTCTGGGAAGGTTCTGCTTTGTTTTTCCTGTACTGGCCACTTCCTTCCTTGAGGAGCTACTTCCTTCTAAACAATACTTCCCCTCTCCTCAGTATTAGCACAGGACAGTGTGCACAGGAAGGGCTAGATATGGACAGTGTCTACAAGAGTGAGCGCCTACAGATTTTTTCTCTTCCTGCTTCTTCACTGTAGTTACTCCTCCCACAAAGGCCAAGTCACTTACCCTATGCTAGTCTTATGCACCACGTTAGTTAACCACCAAGGGCAGAACTAAAAAAATTGTAGAAAGTTGGAAGCTTCTGTAGGAATTTTCTAGGCAATTATGGAAGATGAGCTCTTCACTTAGGGGCTCAGTCATTTTTTTCTTTGCTAGGTTTTCAGTGAGTTTTCCTATCTCTACCAGGAAATGACAGGCCAGCCTGAAGAATTCTTGAAGATCCCAGCCACTTAATTTCAACTCATTAGAGGATGTTTGATAGGGCAGAAATGTCTGTTCCCTCCTTGCCTCAGTGCCATTTTAAATAGAAAGCTGATAGGCTTGTGTAAAAGTGGGTGTGCTGCCTTTTAAAAAAATTATACTTCTTTTTAAAAGTGATTCTTGACAGAGAACAAGTTTCCGTGGGATTGCTGAAGTGGCCCCAAAACACTTTCAAAAGGCTTCATTCTTTAGGCACTCAAAATTGTGTAATCAACACATTTACATTTGAAGATTTCCCAGTTAAGTCAAGAGATTTGTCAGAGTTCAGGAGTGGATGTGAACAACCGGTTGGCACCTACAACCAGGGAGGGCAAATATCTCATTCACCCCCTTCCCCCTGCAAAGGTCTTTCTGACCTCACAGCTGGTTAGAAGGGCATTAAGAACTTTAAGTTAAATATGTAGCACATGGGAGAAGAGGTCCATTTTGGCAAAACAGCAGAGATATGCTTTTCTTACCTCAAGGCTGAAGGATTTTCTTTTACAAAAATTGATTAATCGATTTCTTTTTATTTATTTAATTTTTTTTTTTTTTTTTGAGATGGAGTCTCACTCTGCTGCCAAGGCTGGAGTGCAGAGGCGCGGCCTCGGCTCACTGCAAGCTCCGCCTCCTGGGTTCACACCATTCTCTTGCCTCAGCCTCCTGAGTAGCTGGGACTACAGGCACCCGCCACCACGCCCGGCTAATTTTTTGTATTTTTAGTAGAGATGGGGTTTCACCGTGTTAGTCAGGATGGTTTGGATCTCCTGACCTCGCGATCCGCCTGCCTTGGCCTCCGACTGTGCTGGGATTACAGGCGTGAGCCACCGCGCCTGGCCTATTTTTTTATTTTTTGAGAAGCGGTCTCCCTGTGTTGCCCAAACTGGACTGCAGTGGTGCAATCATGGTTCATTGCAGCCTTGAACTCCAGGGCTCAATTGATCCTCCCACATCAGTCTCCTGAGTAGCTGAGAAAAGAGGCACATGTCGCCACACTTGGCTACTTTTTTTGATTTTTAGTGGAAATGAGATCTTGCTGTGTTGCCCAGGCTAGTCTTGAACTTCTGAGCTCAAACAATCCTCCCACCTTGGCCTTCCAAAGTGCTGGCATAACAGGAATGAGCCACTATGCCCAGCCTGATTAATAAATTTGAATGTAATACTCTTTGGTTAATATAATTTTAGATTTATATTTGGAAATTTCTCTAGAAAATTAGAAATACTTTCAGATATATTTTTATATTCACCTGTGTAATATTCAGGTAGAGACACAGATAAAGTAGTGCTGCATACATGATGAATGACACAAATAACCACATAGCATTTTACAGAGATCTATCCTATTGCTTCATTTAACATTAATAAGTACTGATATATGGGCTAAAATTGACTTAGAAAGCAGTTATCCTTTCCCACAGTTGGTCCTATGGCCAGTTTACAGGGACAGGCTCAAAACTTAAATTCTGGAAATGTGATCTTCTCTTAGCAGGTCACTAGTCTGTCCTTAAGGGGTGTTAATAGCATCACCTGGCAGTTACAAACATATGGCAATTGTAGGACCTGGATTTTCCAGGGTGATCTATGTATGTATGCAATATTCTCTATTGTCAGGAAGTGTGACCTGAATTTTGTTTCAGAAAACATCTTTCTCTGTATAGGAATTAGAGGCTACCCTGACTTGCTGCCACACATCACTGTAAGTTCCATTGACTCAGAGTAGCTTTGGGAGCCTGGAAAATGCTTAGCTTTTGACCTGAGGGAAGATTCTGGTTTAGTAGATTGTCCTGGGTATAGCCTTGATTGGTTCTGAGCTTCCCTCAAGTGGTTCTAAACATGGTTTTGGGTATAGACTATGCTGGAACCACCATGGACTGATACTGTGAGGAGGTTAATCCCCATTTAAAAAACTTCTGCAAAAAACTGGGCACAAATGAGAAATAGTTCATTATTACTCTGTGTATGGTATAGGGGGCGGGGGCAGGGACTGACCACTGAGCTTATTCTGAATTCTGTGCTTGCCCAGGCTGGTCTCGAGCATCTGAGTTCAAGCAATCCTCCCACCACTATTAATATTATTGCTAATGATATTAGTGATTATTAGTGATAATTGTTATTAGTGATAATCTTAATAAAAACAAATTGCCTTCTTCCAAGTGTAGTCTCACCTAGTGACTAGCCCACAAGAACTGTATCGCCATCTCATTATTGCTACTTCTCTCTTATTTAGGTGCCAGGTGCTCATATGTTTTATGTCTCGTACTTTATTTCAGCCCAAATCCAGATCATTTAATGCAGCAGAATCCTATAAACTGGAGAGACTTGGATTGGGAATCTTAGTAGATTCCCTAGATGGTGAAGTATGGGCTGAAAGAGGTTTGTGATTTGCCTAATACCACACAGTACATTAGTGGTAGGGCCGAGGGTACCTGTGCTTCACTGGTAGCTGAAAATTCAAGATATAGGCTATCTCCATGCATTGATGTAGGGTCTATGGTCACACAGTAAATTAGTGGTAGCCTCTGCCAGTGAAACATACATACACTCGACCCCTTCACTAATTTACTGTGTGACCGTAGACCCTATATTAATGCATCTTTTCAGGGGGTTAGACATACGTGTTGCAAGACATGACGAAAGATAAATTAAGTTTCTGGATTCCTGATGTCATGTAATTATAACCATGGCCAGTCTATTGTGACATAGACACTTGTTTTACTTTTCATCTCACATTTGGGCATCACATACAAATGAATAAAGTGTTAAAAAATCAATTCCCATAACTGGCTTGGTGGCTCTTATATTTCATTGAATGAATCTTGGTCTGAATATTTTGACATTTATATAGATGGTATTTAGGCTGAACTTAAGTGTGACAAGATAGTCTACTGAATGTCTTTATCACCTGTCCCACTCTGCCTCCATTTTTTTATTGGTAAATGGGATAATGGTAATATTTCATAGAAATATTAGGAAGCTTACAAGAGACTATGTATATCAGGGTATCCTGTAAACTGTAAATCTGTATATAAATGGGAATAATTATTGTTGGAACAAAACTCAAGTGACCATGATGGCTTTACTAACTAAGCTCTTGTTCTAATATTCTTATTAGGGGATTTTTTGGGGGGATTTTGTATATTTAGCAAACAGATGGTTCTGAAATATGCTTTATTTCCTCTATTGTGACTCATTTCTTTTTAAGGAGTTTCCCATTCATAAAAAAAAAAAAAGGAAATACACACTTAGCAGGGAACATCTAAATAAAAGTAAAAGGAGGGAGAGATTTCACAAACTATATATTTGATAAAGGAATTGTATATGGAATACATAATAAACTCTCATAACTCAATTATAAAAAGACAAACCAGTTGAAAAATGGACAAAGGGTCAGGCGTGATGGCTCACATTTGTAACCCCAACACTTTGGGAGGCTGAGGTGGGAGGATTGGGAGGAGTTTGAGACCAGCTTAAGCAACAAAGCAAGACCCTGTCTCTACAAAAAAAATAAAAATAAAAATAAAAAAATTAGCCCAGCATGGTGGCATGTGGCTGTAGTCCCAGCTACTAGGGAGGCTGAGGCAAGAAGATTGCTTCAGCCCAGGAGGCTGCAGTGAACTATGGTCGTGCTGCTCCACTCCAGCCTGTGCAACAGAGCAAGAGCGAGACTCTGTCTCTTTAAAAACAATGGACAAAGGATCCGGATAGACATTTCTTCCGAGAAAACATCCAAATGGTCGATGAGCATGAAAAGATGCTCAACATCATCAGCCATGCATACAGAATGGGGAATGCAAATCAAAGCTGCAAACAGATGCCACTTGACACCTACCAGGGTGGCTACAATAAAAATGACAGATTATAACAAGTGTTGGTAAGGATGTGGAGGGATTGGAACCCTCATGCGTTGTTGGTGAGAATATAAAATGGTGCAGCTGCCTTGGCACATTGGCAGCTCTTCAAAAGTTAGTAGCATTGCCATGTGACCCAGCAATCCACTTCTAGGTATATACCCAAGAGCAACGAAAATGCATGCTCACACAACAGTCCATACCCAAACGTTCATAGCAGCTTTCTTCATAATAACCAAAAAGAGGCAACAATCCAAATGTCCACCAACTGGACATTTGGATAAATGGATGAAGTGTGGTATATACACACAGCAGAATATCATTTGGCAGTACAAAGAAATACAATATTGATCCACGCTACAACATTACGAACCTTGTAAACACTATGCTAAGTGAAAGAAGCCAGTCACAATGGACCACATATCCTCTGATTCCATTTATATAAAATATCTAGAATAGACTAATCCATAGAGGCAGAAAGAAGATTAGTGGGTGCTTAGGACTCAGTTGGGGGGTAGTTTTGGGGAAAATGGAAAATGATTGCTAATGGGTATATGGTTTCTTTTTAAGGTGATGAAAATGTCCTAAAATTACACAACTCCATGAATGCATTAAAAACTATCAAATTGTGTACTTGAAATAGGTGAACTTTTTAGTATATAAATTATAATTCAGTAAAGCTGGAGGGATAGAGGGAAGGAAGGAGAGAAGAAGGAAGAGAGAGAGAAAGAGAGAGAGAGAGAAGAGAGAGAGAGAGACTTCTTTTTCTTGGATTCTAAATTGTATGTGACATTTCTGCCATGAAAGTGGGTGACTTTACCAAGAGCTAAGAAGTGCTCTACCTCTAGGCTGATGAAGAGAAGCTGGCCCCTAAAATCTAACAATAAATTCTGAAAGTGTTCACTGCGCTCAAATTGGTGACCTGCAGTTATCGGAAACATTTCCATCTTAGACCAGATGCATTTGTAAAAATAAATTTAGTCCCATGTGGACCAAAGAATCTAATGGCCCAAAGCTTTGATGTTGTCAGACTACTAACTAAATAACACGTTGGATAAAAAGAAAACAGATGCACAGACACTACTGATGGAGGCTTTGATCTCTTCTGTGGTAGCTGCAGGCTCATAAAGGACACTGGGAACTTTGTTGCTCTTCCTAATGAGCCTTTGCTACTTTATGAGGTTCACTGATTTCATGCACACCAAACAGGCGAGAAACGGCATTGTCTAAGAAAGGACTTTGATGTTTTCCTAATACTAGCCAATAAACCATTTCTGGTACTTGTAGCCAGTAAATAGTGATTGTAGGATATTTTCATAAATACCTTGTTCAAGATCTGCTGGTGTCAACAGAGAGCAAGTAAAAAGGGTAGCAGCTAAGAGTCCAGAACATCTTGTAAGGTCCAACCAGATTTGCACAGCAATTTGCTTTTGCTAGTTTATTACACCTTTTCCCTCAAAAGTCAGAGTATGTTTGTTTCATGATATTGTTAAATTTAAAAAGCAAACGATAAAGCAAGGTTAGGTGGCATGAATCCAGGAGAGCTAATATCACTCTTCCTCTTTCAGGTTTTGATAACTTGAGGCATTTAGGGGAGAGAGGCTGCCTAAATGGAGTAGATATAAAAGTGGCTTCAATCCAGATAGATATAGATTTTTTCTTTTTTCTTTTTTCTTTTTTTTTTTTTTTTGGAGATGGGGTCTCACTCTGTAGCCCAGGCTGGAGTGTAGTGGTGTGATCTCAGCTCACTGCAACCTCTACCTCCCAGGTTCAAGCAATTCTCCTGCCTCAGCCTCTTGAGTAGCTGGGATTACAAGAGCCCACCACCATGCCCGCCTAATTTTTGTATTTTTAGTAGAGATGGGGTTTCACTATGTTGGCCAGGCTGGTCTCGAACTCCTGACCTCAGGTGATCTGCCCACCTCGGCCTCCCAAAGTGCTGGGGTTATAGGTGTGAGCCACTGCAGCTGGCCCAGATATAGATTTTTGATCGATGGGATTTTCAGGATTGCTTTGAGAAGAAACATCACACCAAAGGGATTTAGGCGTTTGTCACTTTACTTGTGGTGTGGAGAAGGGAATGGCGGGTAACTGTGTCACACACCTGTATGGCTAGCTGGGAAGAGAGGAAAGGGATCTTTGGAATCTGGACCAGTACATACAGCACAGACAAAAGTGGGGCCTGGTCTGTTGCAGGAGTTGCATACATTACAAATAAGTCCCTGGCCTTCAAGTTCTTTAAATTCTTAGTTTTATTTCTAGGCCTCAATGCCTTTTAAATCCTGACAGGAAGATGAAAAAAAAAAAATCAAGTGCGGGATTTTCATTCTTCTTAACTGATGGAAACGATTGCCATTTTATGTTTAATGTTTTCATGTGTCACCAAAGAGCATTAACCTTGGAGTCAAAGGAACTTGGTCAGGCTTCTAGATTTCCCACTGATGACTGTGTGCATTTGGGCAAATTACCAAACCTTATTCTTCTTCTGTGATCTCCTTTGTTAAATGAGATGATTTCTAGAGTTTCTATTCCTGTATATTTTACATTTTAAAAAATGATTCGAATCAGTTATTACTTCCTAATTTACAAAAGGAATACATGCCTCTTGAAGAAAACTTATAGAAGACAGACAAGCAAAGAGTTGAACTTTTCTTTCATTTTGATTGGTCTACAATTCTACATATTCTTGTGCATTGCAAGTCAAAGATTGTTAGAGCAGGGAAGTTCTGCAGTAGTTACCTTGTCCACCTCCATTTAACAGATGAGGAGACTGAGATATTTGTCTAAAGTCACAAGGCATACATTATTGAGCACAGCGATGTGATCAGATTAGTTTTAAAATGTCTTATCCTCTAATTGTTTGTGAATTCCTTTTAAACAATCTTTAAAAGGTCTCTGCAAAAGCATGGACTTAGAACCATCGTTTCTTGTATGTAGATATGCTTAATTATTTTTGAATCTCAGTGAGTATTTTTATAGGCCCCTGTGTCCAGCTGTTGGGGTCGCCAGAAAACATTATTCATGTTTGCTGAAATCCCTGTTTACCTGCCACATCCAGTGAGGCCTACTTTGTTTACTTTTGTTCACTTTAAGACTTTCATGAGCCATCCATGGCTTCTCAGTTCTTTGGTCAGTGTGGTCGCAGTTGTGCTCTGAAATAAGGAGGTGGCTTCATTTCACTTGGCCTTTGGTGTCTGCAGCAGAGACAATTTAGGGTCAGTGGCAAAACAATGTCACGAAGGGAATGATCAGGCTTGAAGCATGGGGGAATAGACAGCTGTCTACCAGTGATGCTGAAGATTGGGTTGGGGATGTGTGGATTCAGGTTTTCTTCCTCCACAGTCGCTCACACACACAGGGTAAATATTGAAGCATTTTGACTTCCTTGCCATTCCAACCTGATGATTCTGCTACAGTCTTTTTTTTTTGAGACAGAATCTTGCCCTGTCACCCAGGCTGGTGTGCAGTGGTGTGATCTTGGCTCACTGCAACCTCTGCCTCCCGGGTTCAAGCGATTCTCCTGCCTCAGCCTCCTGAGTAGCTAGGACTACAGGTTCACACCACCATGCCTGGCTAATTTTTGTATTTTTAATAGAGACGGGGTTTCACATGTTGGCCAGGATGGTCTCGATCTCTTGACCTCATGATCCACTTGCCTCGGCCTCCCAAAGTGCTGGGATTACAGGCATGAGCCACGGTGCCCCGCCTCTGCTACAGTCTTGGCATGACAACAGAGCCCTAGCTAGAAGGATGCTTCTCTGACATTCACATTCATTTCAAGTGACATTAATATTGCCTTGGCAGTTCAAGAGACTGATGTTTACTTCATCAATTCTGGAATTTTAGACTCAAATACAAATCATTTCATCCATGAAAATATCCTATAGTCTCAGATGAGTTCTTAGAAATAGTTATTTTTCTCATGACATTGTTTCTTTTGATAGATTCAACTTTTTTTGTAAAAACACAAAGTAAATAAAGATCTTCTGTTTGTTTGCTTTCCCTGACTAATCAATAACATTTTTGGAATAAATAATGAAATATTGAACAAAAGGAATCATTAAAAATGTTGCATATATTCACATTTGTGGCTGGGTGCAGTGCCTCATGCCTGTAATCCCAGGACTTTGGGAGGCTGAAGTGGATGTATCACTTGAGGCCAGTAGTTTGAGACCAGCCTGGCCAACATGGCAAAATCCCATCTCTACTAAAAATACAAAAATTAGCTGGGTGTGGTGGTACACACCTGTGATCCTAGCTACTCAAGAGGCTGAGGCACCAGAATCCCTTGAACCTGGGAGGTGGAGGTTGCAGTGAGCTGAGATCATGCCACTACACTCCAGCCTGGGCGATAGAATAAGACTCTGTATAAAAAAAAAAAAAAAAAAAAAAAAAAAAAAAAGAGTAGTGTATATTCACACTTGTGACTATTGCAAAATAGATATTTGAAAACTCCGGTTTACAACCCTTGGCCATTTTTACCCTCATTTCATGACAGATACTCTTATTTTTATATGGAAGAGATTTCAATACATTTTAATATGTTTTTTCCCCAACAGTTAAATTTTTTCCTCCAAAAATAAGATATTTTAAGGGCCGAATATTATTTTTAATATTTTATTCCAATCATGGAGTATATTCTACAAAAGAGAATCTGCATAGGATAAGAATGTACTCCAGAGAAATTTCAAATAAAGATGCTATAATATCATAGTCAATATGTACCACATCTTCTATCACATTGCTTCAATTTCAATAGAACATTTAAACACATGAATGAAAGTAAAACAATTTGGCTTGCCACCTGGATATTTTGTCAACACAATGTTTTGATATTTGGATATGCCTAAATTACTCTTTTTCATCAGCTGTTTGGGTATTAAATAAATACAACCTTCATGTATCACAAATCCATAGGGCTAGAGAGTCTTGAACTGGGGATCTGGTTGCAGGGAGATGGATTTTATTTGTTTATCGTCTCTCTGTGTTTCTCTGAGGCTAGTATAACATTAAATGTCTCAAAAGTCTCAACCATTCACGAGCTACAAGAAGCAAGTGTTTTCAATGTTTATCTTTTTTCTTTCTTCTTTATTTTGAAAACAGAGTATGCACAAGTCCATTGAACTATCTAGTGTCTTGTTGACTATGGAGGCTATTCAGTAGGCCAATGACAACAGTAGTCTTTGTTTACATTTATAAAGCAAGATAGTAACAACTAAAAGCTGGGTCTAAAGCTGTTACCTTTTTAAAAATTTAGGAAATACAGGGAAAATGTGGAGGGAATGCATTGCATTCTCAAAGCTTAAGGCCAAGTCAAGATAGATCTTTGGATCATGCTGTAGTTACTTTTCATGTAACTTATTTGTATTAAAAAACAAAACTGATAGCAGCATGCCATTAACTGTAAACTAGATACTGGTTCCTCATCTACTAGTTGAAGACAAATGCAGGTTCAGTAAAAAATGAAATAGGTCTATTTCAAGCCTATTTCCTGTTTACACAAATATCCTAGTTTAATTCTGATTAGCATCCTGAAATCAGCCTTAATTTGTCTTCTGTTTTGGCTATGTAGCTAATTTAAGACAATGCACTTAGCCTATGAAATCTGAAGGAGATATTACAAATGAAGAAAGCTACTTCTTAGCACTTCCATTTTAGAGTGAGGGAATCTAGCCAGGGCAACATCTGTTAAGTGGTAGAATACCTTTACTGGTTCTTTTTTTAAACATCTTGTCTAGGGTTCTACTTGAGATAAAATAATGGTGCATATAAATTACATTTGTCAAATGAACACTGGAGAGTATATGGATTAAAATTTGAAGCCACATTAAATCGGATAAAGCTCATGAATGCTGAAAAGTTAAATTTGGTGGGGATTATTTTTGGTATGGGATCTTGGCAAAGAAAAGAGAGACTTGTCTTAAGAAACAAAACAAAACAGAAAACCAAAACAAAACAACTGATTTACGAATCGTATTATTTTAAAAAGAAACTAAATCAGAAAATATTTTGAGACCCTTAGTAAAAGTATGGAGAGCAAAGACTGATTCTAGGGCCTGTAGCCCTGACTAGCTCTGTCTGTTAAATTTGTTACTATTTTGATTTTCTTTATTACAATCAATTTAGTTATGACAGCTGTTATCTTTTGGTGATTTTTGTATTGTGATAGAGTCTTATCCAATTATTTAATAATAAAAGCACATTTGAATTTGGTTGCATTTTATATCTATTTAGCTGTGAAAAGCTGGGAGGCAATTGAAAGAACAGGTATGATTATCTTTTACTTCTATTTGGCAGGTGAAAATGAACTACCTAGTGTCATATTGACTTTGGAGGCCACTCAGTAGGCCAGTGACAACAGTGGTCTTTGTTTATATTTACATAGTGAGATAGTAACAACTAAAAGCTGTGTTTAAAGCTGGTACCTTCTTAAAATTCAGGAAATACAAGGAAAATGTGGAGGGAATGGATTACATTCTCCTCAAAGCTTATGGCCAGAAGAAAATGTGTATATTCAATATCTCTCTTCGCTTTCTTCAATTTAGCAGAATGACAACTTTCTTCAATGTGTGATATTCTAAACCTCCTTCTAAAAGTAGCTATTCTAGGCAGATTTGGGTCTATTTTCTTGTACAAATGAAAACAGATGAGACATGGAAGAAAGATCCTCCTGAACTGAAATTTAATAATAATTAATCCATGGGTTTAACTCACAGGGTAACTATAGAGCTTTTTTTTTAGGTGAAAGATAATTAAATCTTGCCCCAGAAATCATTCTCTTGGAAGATATTTCCTAAGAAATGGAGCCAGATGGCTCATGTTCACTCACAAGACCACAGTAATAAGTTAATTTGGACAAATTGCCACATACACATTCAGCCATGGTGACCTTTAATTTCTAACAGCTTTAAAAGTGTCCATTAAAGCAAGATGGAAGGGAAAAGACTATAAATAGCTGACATCTATTTTCAGAGAGATTGAAGACTAGAGCTTTTGCTACTTATTATATAAAACACTACTAGTAAGAAGCAGGAAGAAGTAATAGAAGGCAAAGTGAAATTTAAAAAAAAAACTATAATTAAGATATTAACCAAATTTTCTGAAGTTAGTATGGAACCCATTTTTCAAATTCTATACAAATCTAAAATATATTCTGTGAATATAAAACATTTAAAACTACATAGAAACAATCATTAAGGATTAAAAGAATACTGAAGGTAGAATCTATTGTAGTTTTTTGGCAATATAAAATTTTGTAAGATCAAGGAATGTATAAAACTTTCTTTGGATATACTTTCTTTAAGGTTCATTCACTTTTCCAACATTTACTGTTACATATTCTTGATTTTCTATAGACTTTAACGACTATATTTATCAACTTATTTCTTTTAACAATCTTAGTTCAAGTTGATTATCTGACGTCAGTGAATAGCGCTATTGTACTTTAAGTAATGGGAGATGTGATTATGAGATTCTATCTGTTCCTCTTTGTAAATTGGCATTGAAAACAGAATTGAATCTTAAAATCTCTTATTCACTAATTAGCCTATCAACCTTGTCCATATAGTCGTTTTACCCATTCCCACAGGAAATTATGGACAATAATTAGTGTAGTGAACAAAAGAAAAATAGCAATGTATTTGATTGTATTGAACCACAGATTTCTGGGTCCTTTAAAGAACTTACTGAACTCTGACAATATTCCTGTTACAACTCTGAGACAGGTAAATCTTACTGTACTTGCTTTGGAGATGGTCCAAAAAAATAAATTAGGGCCATTTGGGATAAATTGTGTGATACGTAATGATTCCAACTTTTTATTATGAGTTTATTAAAATAAATACAACTTGAGATCAATATTCTGAGTTCATATCCATCTAAAAGGGTGAATTTGCTACTTGCCCATGAGAAGTGTTCAGTGCTAGAAAAACAAAGCTATAGCTAGGTGTTCCTGGCTTCCAGGAATCTGGAGGAAAGAGGAAACATGTTAGATCCTGAAAATAACTTGGTGTCTCTAAAATAAGAAATGAAAAATAAATCACTGAACCTTTTCAGATTACAAATTTCTCTCTGTGACAGGAGAAGATTGATGTTTAGATGGCTTTGAGGTCCCTTCCAACTTTAACTTTTTATGATTATATAAAAATGATTCTCATACAGAAGTGCTTATATCTCTTCTGTTGTTTTGCTTACTCTTTTTCTAAGGACCAGTAATGCAGTGGAAAAAAAATATACACAATGATCCTGGGGAGGATGTGTGTATATATATATATATGTGTGTGTGTGTGTGTGTGTGTGTGTATACATATATATATATACACACACACACACATATATGTGAGTATATAGGTGTATATATATATATAAATATATAAATCATATATACATATATATCAGCTTCTGTGTATATATATATATACACACACACACGTATATACACACACCACACACACAGATATGTATTTGTGATTATGTATGAACTTCAGTTAAATGAGTTCATATATATATTCTTTTTTCCAGTTCAGTTTTATTATGATGATTATTTCTTTATTTCAATAGTTTTTGAGGTACAGGTAGTTTTTGGTTGCATGGATGGCTTCTTTATGGTGAATTCTGAGGTTTTGGTGCACCCATCACCCCAGCAATGTACAGTGTACCCACTGTGTAGACTTTTATCCCTCAGCCCCCTCCCTACCTCCCCACCTGAGTCCCCAAACTCCACTATATCACTGCGCATGTTTCTACATCCTCATAGCTTAGCTCCCACTTATGAGAGGATGCACATATGCTATTCCGGGAGATGGTCAAGCTTTTTCTATTGTTCAGGTTTTCTAGTATGCTGCTGGCTTTTCTGACCACACTGTGGAAATGTTTGTGGTATCTCCAGACCAGAGAATATGAAGCCTCATATCTCTTCCTGGGTTATAACAGATCATTTAAAAATAGTACTTACCTAATACATATATTGAAAGAAAGAAAGAAAAGAAAGAAAGAAGGAAAGAGAGAGAGCAAGAGCAAGAAAGAAAGAAAGAAAAAGAAAGAAAGAAAAGAAGGAAAGAAACGAACAGGTGAAAATGCCATCCTAACATCCTTTGGAGTAAATTAACAAATATTGGTAGCTCTATGTTTTGAAACATTTAGCTTTGCATTTATCCCCATTGTTATCCTAAATCCAGTTCCTCATGTGTGTATGTGGGTGTGTGCATGCACAGGCATGTGTGCATATATGCGTATGTTAACATATGTATTTTGAAGGCATGTATTTCATGATTTTAAGGGAAATTTAAAATATAAATCTCTCCCTCCCTAGACTCTGCAATAATATAAAACTAAAGCCTATTAGCTCTACAAACTAATTTTGGTCATCCTTCCTCTTCAAATGTTCAAGACCAGCCTGGGCAACATGGCTGAAATCCCGTCTCTACAAATAAACACAAAAAATAGCTGGGCATGGTGACGCACACCTGTGGTCCCAGCTACAGGGGGAGGTGAGGCAGGAGAATCATTTGAGCTCAAGAGGTGGAGGCTGCAGTGAGCCACGTTCACGCCACTGCACTCCAGCCTGGGTGACAGAGCAAGACCCTGTCTCAAAAAAAGAAAGAAAGAAAAAAAAAAGTGCTCTCTCAGGAGCCTTTGCCCTGTGGGTGTGTGCCTTAGGGAAGTTATCAGTACCCTTTAACAATTAGAAAAAGGCCTCCCTTCCTTAATCAGCTCCCCTCCAGGACTTGGCGATCTGAGGATCAGCCTAGATTTCAGCTCCCAGGTCTCTCCTAGGCTGGGAGTCACTGAGTGGGGCAGATCCTGCCCAGCTGTGGCCCTGGGTTACACAGTAAGCAACTGGAATTACTCTGATGCCCTGGAAGCTGTAAAAATCATTCCTCTCAAGTGATGTGTATGCTCTCTGACGCGTGCTTCCAGGAGGGGCGTGGGCTTACCTGGGAACAATCAGAAGCTGAGCAAGCATTTGCTGAGCCTACTGTGTGCACTGACTCTGCCAGATGGTGTGGGGGGTGTAGGGGGAAAGTGCACAGTCCCTGGCGTCAGGGCACACAGTCTAGCTGGAAAGCTGAAACAAAACTCGGCAGTGTGATGTGATTTGGAAGTCAGGTTCTGAATATACAATCACTTGGTTTTTGTCTTTCTTGCTTTATATAAAAAGGAGATTGGGTAAGAACAGTTTGAGTGTGCGTATCTGGGGTCATAGGTTTCTTATCTCCAGTCTACGAAGAACAACTGGCAATATGTTATATCTAGTGCTCACTGTGGAGAATCAACAAGAGCAGTTGTTAGGTGCAAATGGCTGGGGAGGCTTCTTAGAGTAAGAGCTTGACTGTATATCACATAGTATTAAATCCTCAGGGAAGAGCGGGGCAAATAATCCAGTACTGGGATGCTGTGTAGGTCAAAACACAAAGATGGGAATTGCTACGAGATATGTGGGGAATAGTGAAAAGTCCAGGATAACTGAAACAGAGTGTTGAGTTGGGTTACAAGGACCAGGCAGGTAGGCAAGCCTGGACTAGGGTTCCTCATTCCATCCTTTAGACTGATCACAGGCACATAATTGCCAAGTGAGTGGTTAGGGGTGAGCTGGATCTGCGGCTGTGATCAGCTTTTTTCACTGTGTAATGTTCAGGGACTGAGTCTAGGATCCAGGCCAATATTATACCATGCTCTAAGCAACCAACGAAAAAATTAACCAGCTCAGATATACACATATGCACACTCATACAGGGGCACAGACCTCAAGAGGGAGATAATCCTGATATGTAATCTCAGGCCTGGGCTATGTTCTCCAACTTCAAAGGAGAATCCAGTGGGGTGATATATTAGAAATGGGGAGTTTTCCAGAAGAAGACTGTCAAAATATTGACTCCGGCAGAATTGTAACCCAGATAGAAATGCACTCCTCAAACAACAAAGCAATTTACAAAGTGGCTTGAAGTCCATCAGGAGGGAAAGCAGAATTTGGGAGGTAAGCCAAGGAGCTTGCATTTCTGTAATGCTTGTTCTGGTGCCAGTGATAAACATTAGTGCACCCTTCAGACCTCTGCCTGCTGGAGAGGTATCTAAGTGTCTACAGTGCTCTCTAAACATAAATAATCTTCATCTTCAAATGCACAGTAGACACGTGGGAACAAGATTAGGGGGACTTTTTTTTTAAGCCCCTCATGGAAACTTCCACAGGAACAAACTTCAGCGTACTGTGGAAGTTACACCTCAAGTAGATGTCTCTGGAGACCTGGGCATATCTCTGTGCAGTTTACCAGGCTGGACTTGCTCTTTTCCCGTAGTAGTGTCCTCCTCTAAACCACAGAAAAAGCTGTAGAAGCAAGAGATTTAGCCCAGATTCAAAGGTGAAGAAAGGGCTGGTAGTTCAAAGGAACATAACAATGAAACGTGACAATAACTTTCATCTGCCTCAAATGTCTTCCTCAAGATCTTTTTAACTTTGGTGGAGAAAAAGAATGCAACCATCACTCGACTAATATACACATATATGTACATTTTCTTTCTGAGACAGGGTCTCTCTCTTGCCCAGGCTGGAGTCCAGTTATATGATCACAGCTCAGCTCACTGCAGCCTCCATCTCCCTGGCTCAAGGGATCCTCCCACATCAGCCTCCCAAGTAGCTGGGACTACAGGCACATGCCACCACGCCCCTCTAATTTTTGTATTTTTTGATTTTTGTAGAGATGAGGCTTCCCTGTGTTGCCCAGGCTGGTCTCAAACTTCTGAACTCAAGCAGTCCTTCCACCTAGACCTCCCAAAGTGCTGGGATTACAGGTGTGAGCCACTGCATCTGGCCTGGCCAATATTTTCTTAAGGTAACTTTCACTGCCTAAGTTGGTGATGGCCAATTTCTATTCAAATGGAAATATATATATTTTCTTTAATTAGAAATATCTTTGCTCCAAATGAGGAAAATATCTAAATGTATAAAACCTGAGCCTTTCCTGGTGCTATGTGTATTAAACTATGAATAGTGTTTGGACACTATTTGGCTCTCTGTTCTAACTAGATTCAGGAGGCTAAGAAGGAGAGAGCAAGGAAGGCCAAAGAAGGGGTTGAGAGAGAAGGGGAATAAATCCTGAAGACAGAAAGGGAGACAGCCAGGGAGAAAAGAAGGGGAGCAGCTGAGCTTTGCTGCAGTCACATAATTCTACACTTAAATTACATTCTTGCATGGACTCAAGGTCTATCTGAAGAATACTGCCCTTCAATAAGGAGGCTTTGGAGGCCAAACTGTGGCTTCATAACATCCCTATATGTACACTTTGATCTTCTACTCACTTGGAATAAAAGTAGATGCTTAGAAAGTATCCAGAGGTGAGAACTGCTTTCAATTAAGCATTAAGAAAAGGCCGTTTAGGGAGATAATATTATGCAAATACATACTGTAAACTCTTTAGTGTGGGCAAATGGGAGGCAACATCACACATGTATAGAAGTTTTCCCATGCTAACATTTCCAACCTGATTTGGGGTACATTTTTTTCCCTCTGGTTTCCTTTTCCTCAGTTTCTGGTTTTCCATCCCCCTTATACCTTTTTTATGTGTTTGGTATTCTAGGTCAGGTTCAAAGGTAGACTATAAAAGGAAGATCTTAAAACTGATATTTCAGTAAGAGTCTCTGAATGTAGCGGAGGAAATGTATGAAAAGCCTTTCCTTTCCTTCTCTGCACCCTGCATCCAAGTCCTCTAAACGGCAAAGTAACACTGTGCAGAAATGTTTTCAGGGCTTTCAACAGGGACAAAGGATGCCGGTTGAGAATGTTGCTTTTATGGTGACCTCCCAGTTGGAGAGGTATTCTTCCATGGAGATCCTGCTGTTCTGTTAGGACACAAGAGGCATTAACACGCTGCTCACTATCTTTCAGGGGCCAATTAGCCAGTTTGGTATATCCAGACCCCGGGGTCCTTTCATTTCCTCTCTTAGCAGCTTGCCTTGTGGTCATTTACCATGCTTCATTAAGAGGGGGCAAAACTCAGATCTGCCCATTTGGCTCACGTTCAGAGCTTGGATGGAAGCTTTCTTGGGGGTGGCAGATGAAGCCATTAAAGGAAAATGTGGGGATTATCCATGGATTAGGATTATCTAACTCAGTGGTTTTTCAGCTCTTTTTAACTAGGAGGATCTCTTTTATAGGTAAAACACTCATGCACTCCAATATTACCATCGTTACACTGCTCGTATCTGTTGAGTAAGGCAGTAATGTCCTCATATAAACAGGTTGTTCATCTTGTCTTCTTAGTCCTCATTCTGTTCCTCTGCCAATTTCTCTAGGGAAGGCATCTTTCCTAGAGCATCAATACTCTGAATTTCTTGTGGTAATGAAGGTTGATAGGAGGAGTCTATATTTATTGTCTGTTGGAAACCATTTCTGACACACATAGATTGTTGAGATGTTTTAGAATAATGAATCCTAAACATCAAAGGAAAAGAAAAAAGAAAATATCTCCCCATCAGTTTTTTTTTTTTTCTCCTTGGAGACAAGGTCTCTCTCTGTTGCCCAGGCTGGAGTGCAGTGGCATGACCACAGCTCACTGCAGCCTTGACCTCCCGGGCTCAATGGATCCTCCCGCCTCAGTTTCCCAAGTAGTTGGGACTACAAGTGCATGCCACTACATCTGTACTTTTTTAATTTTTTGTACAGACAGAGTTTTGCCGTTTGCCCAGGCTGATCTTGAACTCCTGGGCTCAAGCGATTCTCCTACCTTGGCCTGTGAAAGTGCTGCGATTACAGGTGTGAGCCATTGTGCCTGGTCTCCTCAATAGGTTTACACAGGTGTTGCCATTGGAGAAGGCTTATATTTTCTTGCTTAGTGATGATTCAATGTGTGTGTAAATCAGAAGGAATTGAAATCAACTATGAGGGTGCCCAAGGTTATGGAAAATATTACTTTAACATTTTTAGCAATTTTTTTTTTACCAGTTTAGTGAGCAGGACTGATATGGTTTGATGCTGTGTCCCAAATCTCATGTCGAATTGTAATCCCCACATGTTAGAAGAGGGACCTGGTGGGATGTGATTGGATCATGGGGTGGATTTCCCCCTTGTTGTTCTCGTGATGGTGAGTGAGTTCTCATGAGGTCTGGTTGTTTAAAAGTGTGTAGCACTTTGGGAGGCCAAGGTGGGCAGATCGCTTGAGGTCAGGAGTTCAAGACCACCCTGGCCAACATGGCAAAAACCCATCTCTACTAAAAATACAAAAATTAGCCAAGCATGGTGGCACATGCCTGTAATCCCAGCTACTCGGGAGACTGAGGCAGGAAAATCACTTGAACCCAGGAGCTGGAGGTTGCAGTGAGCCAAGATCAAACCATTGCATTCCAGCCTGGGTGACAAGAGTGAGACTCTGTCTCAAAAAAAAAAAAAAAAAAAAAAAAAAGTGTGTAGCATTTCACTCTTTGTCTCTCTCCTGCCACCATGTGAAGATGTGCTTCCCCCTCACCTTCTGCCGTGATTGTGAGTTTCCTGAGGCCTCCCCAGCCATGCCTCCTGTACAGCCTGTGAAACTGAGTCAATTAAACCTCTTTTCTGTATAAATGTCCAGTCTCAGGTAGTTTTGTACAGCCATGTGAGAAAAATTAGAGACCTAGGGTTAGAATTTTAGAGTACAAGGAAAGGGTTTGTTAACAATAGGAACAATGATGAAGACTTGCATGACACTAACAGAGCATATTTTCTTCTTTTTTTCTAGATCTTTGTTTCTCTTTGTCACTGTTGTACTAAAAATTGTCATCAGTATTTGAGTTCCACTTTCTCTCAAGAGATAACTTTGTCTTCCTTATCATCAAGAAAATTGAGGTCATCAGCTGCGAACAACATCAAGTTACTAGCAACATCTGCATTCCAAGGGCCAAAAGAGCTGCTCTCTGTCTTTCCATGTATTCTTGGACAATCTCATTCTCTTCCTATTTGTTGATGACTCCGTAATTGGTATCTTTTGACTGTCCCTCTCTCTTAAGTTTAGACTCATATATGCACCTGTCCTGGGGTTGTGTATCTGTGGAGGTCACAGGCACCTCATACTCACTCTTTTCCTCTGTAACCTGCTTCTCTTAGGAAATTCCTCACCTGGGGGAACCACCATTCCTTCAAGCACCCAAGGTAGGAACCTGGTGTGAAGCTTGACTTCTCCCTTTCCTGTGCTTCACACACTTGAGTAATCCCCAGGCACTAATTATTTTACTTTCTAAATATTTTTCAAACCCATTCCCTACTGTTTAGCTATACTTCCTTCCTTCAGGCTATGATAATCTTTCTCTTAGATACTTACAGTGACTTTTAAGGACCCTCCATTGCCTAAAAATCAGATCTCTGCCTGTCAGTATGATATTCAAGATTTTTCATGATCTTCCCTTTCCAATTTTTTTTTTTTTTTTTTGAGACAGGATCTCACTCTGTTGTTCAGACTGGAGTGCAGTGGTGCGATCATAGTTCACTGCAGCCTCGAACTCTGGGACTCAAGTGATCCTCTCTTCTCAGCCTCCAGAGTGGCTGGGACTACAGGTGTGCAGCACTATGCCTGGCTACCTTTTTAATTGTTTTATAGAGATGGGGTCTTGTTATGTTGCACGGGCTGGTCTCAAACTCCTGGCCTAAAGTGATCCTCCCACTTCAGTCTCCCAAAGTGCTGGGATTACAGGCATGAGCCACCACTCTTGGCCTCCTTTCCACATTTATCTGCCACTCTCCTCCTCCCACTTTACCAAATTGCACACACCAAGAGATTGCTTTTATTCCTTCCACTTAAAAATCTCTTCCCTACGTTTCTTCATCTGATGGACTCTCACCCACCTTTCCTGAATCTCCTGGCCAAGATAAACATGCCCCTCTACTGTGATCCAATTATAGTTTCGACATATTTGTTTCTTATCACCTGTATGTTATAGTATATTGTAATTGTCTGTTAATTCATATTCCCTCTCACACCTCTTCACTCACTTTAACCATTCCAGGCAAGAAGGAAGACGGTTGCTTATACTATGCCAACATTTTGTTGTTCTTGTTTTTGTTTCTAGAACAAATGCTGGAAATTCTTTGACATAACTTCCTTCAAGAGTTGAGCTTTATTTTTTTCCACCCCTTATGTTAAGGCAGGAGTATCACTTGCTTGTAACCAACAGAATGTAGCTGTGTGATTTCTAAGGTTAGGTCAAAGAAGTGATGCCAGTTTTTCTTGTTCCCTGGGACGTTTGTTTTGGGGGCCTTGTTTTAAGAGGTCTGACTGCCCTGAGGTGGCCACACTGTGAGGAAGCCCAGGCTATAGGAAGAGGCCAGGTGTAGGTGCTCCGTTGAGGCCCCACTGGGGTGTCTGCATCAACCAGCAGGCACTAAAGACACCTCTATGTGATTCTGGCCTCTAGCTGTCTTGCAACCCTAGCCTTTGAAACTCTCCTGGCCAATATCCCGGACATTGTGTAGCAGAGGCACTCTGTGCCTATCCCAATTCTGACCCACAGAAGCTGTGAGCACAATAAGTGGTTGTTTTACACCACTAGGTTTTGAGGTGGTTTTGCAGCAATAGTAAAACAATGCACAGCCGCAGCAGAAATCTGCTCATTAACCCTTTATTGGCTCTTCCTCTCACCCTCTCATTCTTCCTTGTGCCTCCTGGGAACACATTCTAAATGAGCTACCTCCACCTGAATCTTTGTCTCAGGGACTTTTCTTTAGGGAAATCCACGTTAAGATACTGTACCACTCCCATCATCAGAAATTGTTTAGATAAATGCAAACTTTTAAAATTTTTTTATTATTTTATTATTTCTTATTTTATTTGTTTTTTGAGACAGAGCTCACTCTGTCACCCAGGCTGGAGTGCAGTGGCATGATCTCAGCTCACTACAACCTCAGCTCCCTGGGTTCAAGCGATTCTCTTGCCTCAGCCTCCCATGTAGCTGGGATTACAGGTGCCCACCACCACTCCCGGCTAATTTTTTGTATTTTTAGTAGAGATGCAGTTTCACCATGTTGGACAGGCTGGTCTTGAACTCCTGACCTCAAGTGATTCACCCGCCTCAACCCCTCAAAGTGCTGGGATTACAGGTGTTAGACACCATGCCCAGCCACAAACTATTTTAAAATGCTTTAAACAAGAACACTTTAAACAAGCTGAAGAAAAGTATAAAACATGAACCAGGGTGGTGGTCCTGAGACAACATAATATTACAGAAGGCAATGGGGCTGACTTAGAGAGTCCAGCAACACTTCCACCTAGAACTGAGAAGAGTTTTAGAGGCTGTTTGCAATAATGGCGAGTTAAAGGCAGGAAGGAATTGAATTAAATACACATTTTTATTTATGGAATATTTTTCATTTGGAGGAAAATTACTTTGATTTTAAAAGTCAGAAAGCACGTCTTTTAAATATCTTACACTTCTTTTATTTTATAAGATTGCCAGGTAACTGTTCAGATGAGATTGATTGGCCCAAAAGAAAATTAGGCATTAAGGTGTCAATGATGATACTATTAGTGTAGTGTGAAGTTATTAATGTTTCAACATATAGAGTGGTTTTCTTTTTTCTGCGTAGATTCACTCATGTGGCATTCTTACGGAGAGAGAAGGAGAGAGTATGACTGTGTGTGTGTATGTGTGATCATCTGAAATAGAATTTGATGCTCAGAAAGCATTTGAAAATGAAGAGTTCACAGCAATTCATATCAATGCAGTTTCTCATCAGGTTCATAATAAAGATACCTACAAAGGTATAGTACGACAAATGCTTTTTTTTTTTTCTACGCGACCACATTCCATCACCTGACACCCACTTGCATGCCATTGCTTCACTAACATCTTTATCACATTTATCTGAGTTCCTATTTAACTATCTGGAGATAGTCTACAGAGTAGGGCTGTCACCCAGGATCTAGCAGAGGATCTGAGACATATTTCTAATATTTGTTGAATGAATAAAGCAGTATCATAAGGCCAATGCACCCCATCATTTAGATCATAAATACTGTTCATGCTTGTTTTGTTGTCAGTAGAGTGCCCCACCTAGAAGTGACCCTGGATTGCAAAACTGTAATGAGCAAAACCCAGACTGAGTGTCTCTCTTAAATACAGGCAGAAACAGACTCCTCTGTTAACAAGAATGCCATCCTGTGCTCTCAACCACATTGTAAGGAGCGTCACCTATTGCCCAGAAAGAAATAAGCTGCTTTTTATAAGTATTTAGTGCATGGCCACTGAAAATATTAGAGACAAAAGGCAAAAATATTGCTGAAATGATGGCAAGAATTCATTGGTTGGATGCCAAGTAAAAGTCAGTTCCAGTTGTTCCATTAGCAGTGAAAACTTCAGACACTGCCAGACATTACTATCTGCTTGTGCAATTTGGCACAGTTGTTACTAGGTCAGAAGTACAATTGCAAAACTAGTACAGCCAACACTTTGCAAAGCAGTATCAACTATAGAAGACACAATACCTTTCAAAGAGTGGCATGCTCTATGCAATTATGGTAGTTGTTAACAATTATTTAGGACTTCCAGTGTGCCAGGCAGCATTCTAAGTGCTTTATTTTTAGTGACTCATTTAATTCTTGCAACAACCTCATGAGACAGATGTATTCATATCCTTTCCATTTTACAGGTGAGGACACCAAAGCCCAGAGAGGTTAAGTATCCTGCCCATAATTCCCTACATTCTAAGCACAGAATGGAGATCTAAATCCCACAGGTTTATCTCCAAGATCCATGCTCTCAATTGTCGCATGATACCGTTTCCCATAACCACTATGCTTAACTGCCCTAACACCATGCAAATGCCTGTCTTTGAAGATATGTGGAAAATATGATCAAACAAGTGCAAAAAATAGAACTGCTTTATCTTCCAGGCTGATTATCATAGACTTGAGGCTCACCATCGTGCTACAAGAATTTCCTAACCAAACCATGTGATATTTTACTAATATTATAGCTGGCCCCATAGTGCTATCCATAACCGCTCAAAGTTAAAAGCATTTTTCAGTTCTATATTCATTTTAATGGGATGTTGTTTACAGTGAGTCTAATAAACAATATGTAAATGATTAGCTGTAGTTTTACAGCTTGAAACCATGCATCGGCTGTCTACAATGTTTAGTTACAAAACACAGTGCAAGTTATTTGGAACTGAAGCTCCAGGAAAGCAGGCACCTGGTTAGTCTCAGTCCTCAGTGTGCTTTTGCACAGGGAAGCTGCCCAGTTGTTAAATGAACCACTTCCTTGTGATGTTGTCCAGCACTCCTTTGCTCCTGTTTCTTTGCTCCCCTTCTCTTCCCAGCCCCTTTCTCTGTACCATTGACATCATATTTAATTGATAACACACTCTCTTATATCCACAGTTTTTGCAGCAGCTTCTGCACCTGTTGGTCCTATTGGAGACTTGGCTTCCCCCTTAGCAAACCTCTTTTCCTGAAGCCTCATTTTGCTTCCATATTCTATTAGGTTAGTTGCAGGAAGAAAGACTCTCTGACTCTGAGAAAGACTCTCTGACTCTGAGCTGTTTCCCAATCCTTATTCTCCCAACTCTTTTGAAGTGAGGCCGTCAAGTTCATGTCAATCCAATCCCCAGTTACTCCCCCTTATTTATTAAAGATTCTAGCCTTTTGTTCATATACTTCCCTTTAACTCCAACCTTGGCAGCCTCACCGTGGGAGGCAAAGTCTCTGCGGACACCCCCCACATGGTGTAACCCTGCAATTCCAGCACCATCACTGAGCAGCAGTCTGGATCTTTTTATCCCCTGGGGTGCTTCCTTCAGAAGTCCTCAACCCTGAAAACGCATTCTGATCTCATCCTTCCATCCCATGTCTCCCTCTCCACAGCTGGGTGGAGCCAGTCTTTTACTCTTGAACACGCATTCTCCATTCCCTGGTATCCTGGCTTCTCAATATCTTCAACCAGGAAAACCTCCACATTGAATTAAAGCTGCAATTCACCTTTTTTTTCCCTCCCTGGGATGACTAATTACCACTGTAGAAACTTCCACAGCTTTGCAGATAGAAATCATTACCAATTGGAACTCCCAAACCTCAGAGGGGCTATTTTACTCATTTACTCCCTAACCTCAGAGGGGTATTTTACTCATTCTTAGACTCCTCACTTTCCATTCCTCAGTGATGCCTCTAAACTTTCCCCACTCATCTCAAACCTTCGTTTTTCTTTTTTTTCCTTTGAGACAAAGTCTCGCTCTTGTTGCCCAGGCTGGAGTGCAATGGCGCGATCTTCGCTCACTGCAACCTCTGCCTCCTGGGTTCAAGCGGTTCTCCTGCCTCAGCCTCCTGAGTAGCTGGGATTACAGGCACCTGCAACCACATCTGACTATTTGTTTTGTATTTTTAGTAGAGACGAGTTTCACCATGTCGGCCAGGCTGGTCTCCAACTCTTGACTTCAGGCAATCCACCCGCCTCAGCCTCTCAAAGTGCTGGGATTACAAGTGTGAGCCACCACGTCCGGCCACCCTGACTCATTTTCAGCAGACTGTATTGTCTCCACTGCATTAAGAGAGTTGAGACTATTGGTATCCTCTATCTCAGCTTCCAGGCACTCCTTGTCATGGTACCCACTGCCACCGTGATCCCATTTCTATCAGTCTCAGGGTGGTTCCTCCTCCTAGCCAAGGCTCTCTTCACTTGTGCCTTTCACACAGTCTTCTGAATTAGTGATTCAACAATTTTCTTATTCCTTTCTCAGACTTCCAACCTATTTCTTCCTTTCTCTCTCTTTCTCTTTCTGTCTTCTCTTTTACAGCAACGTTCCCTCTGCTTAAATACATGCTAAAGTCTCTTCCATCCTGATTAAGAAACAACCCAAACCAAAATCACAAGAACAACAATGAACAGAAAACCACAACATACCATAAACCCATCCTTTCCCATCCTAAATTATCCCCATTGATCCTTCTTTTTCATTCTCAGGAGAATGTCTCCATGTGACAAGTCTCCACCCAGGTTACCACTTCCTTCACACACTTGCCCATATCTTGTCTTTCCACCTGTCATCCACTCTTCCTGAATTGTTTTTGCCTGCCAGAACCCTCCAGGATGGCTTGGGGGGCCTCTCCCTTGAAGTGCTTTGGGACATTGTGGCCACTTCCATCACTGACGTCCCCTTGCTCTATTCCAGTACTGGACAGTGAGACCCTTCAGGGCGTGGAATGGATTGCATTCATTGTTGTGTCCCCATTGCCTGGCACAATCCCTGGAACATGGAATAGGATCAATACGTACTTGTTAAATAAATATTTCCATATAAACTTCTACCAAATGACTCTCCATTCATATTGCCTCTTTATTGCTTTCATATAATTTGATTACTTTTTAACCAACATACTGCTGCTTTCTGATAGAACAATATTGTCCCCATCTGCTCCACTAAGCTTCTGCAAAGACCTTGGAGAGTTCCCTATAGTTCAAAGAGTTCTCCTGGTTGAAGTCAGCTGGCCCACACAGTATCATTTCTTCACTCCCATGCTCTTTTCCAATGACTTCTAGAGTTCTGGATGTCCTAGACTGATAAAATTTATAAACCCTTAAAGGCATAGGATTAGATAGGTAATTATTGTTATGGTAATTCTGGAGTAAAGTACTTACTTTAATCCACATCATCCCAAACTAGCTTGTATTATCACCATAGTTTCATAAGACTGAGGATATTTTAATAATACCAAAGCAATAAAGACTGAATAACGATAAGGCTTTAAGTTGAATAAATTTAATACTATAAGAAAGTTCAGTGCATTGCTGTGTAAGTCTACTGGGGCTCCCATAACAGAATGCCAGGATAGAAGAGATTTAAGCATGTATTTAAGCAGAGTGGAAGTTGCTATTAATGAGAAAAAAAGAAAGAGAGAGAGAGAAAGAAAAAATAAAGTACTTACTTTAGTCCACATCTTCCCAAACAAGCTTCTATTATTACCATAATTTCATAAGAGTGAGGATATTTTAATAATACAAAAGCAAGAAGGATAGAATAATGGATAAGGCTTTAAGATGACTACATTTAATACTAAAAGAAAATTCAGTGCATTGCTGTGTAAGTCTACTGGGGCTGCCATAACAGAATGCCACAGATTCAGTGGTTTTTTCACAGTGCTGGACTTGAAAGTCCAAGATCAAGGTACCCTGAAGGTTGGTATCTGGTGAGGCCTCTCTCCCTGGCTTATAGACAGCCACCTTCTTGTCTTCTCACATGGCCTTTCCTTTCTATGTGCACTCTCCTACTGGCTCTTTCTCTTCTTGTGAGGACACTATTCTTATTGGCTTAGGGCCCCACCCTTATGACCTCATTTAACCTCACTTACCTCCTTATACCTTCCACTTACCCCAATTATCTCCTAACACAGTAACATCGGGGTTAGAGCTTTAACATATAAACTGCAGGCTGATGGGGCAGGGTGGGAAATTACAATTCAGCCCATAGCAATTGCCCTTGTTTTTCTCATTTTGCTGCTGATTATTGGCAATTTCGTACTGGATTGATACCAATCTGGTATCAATTTGGGATTTGGGAAATATAGTCCTAATCATTGTATGGGCCATATATAAAGTCTGTAAAAATTATATATTTTATTTATAATTTTAGTTTTTATTCTGGCAACAACTTTCCACCTCTTTTACATGACAAACTGCATTGAGGCAAGGTCCTTGGATACAGGACCTTTTGGATAAATTTATCCATCTATTCAAAAATATTCATTGAGTACCTGACTATGTGAGTAAAATACAATTGAATCTTGTCAGCTGTGGGGTCATGGAAATAAAAATAACTGAGCTCAAAATCATGAGATCTAAATTCTAGTCACCTCTCTGAACCAAAGTTTCTTCATCTTTAAAATGGGGGATAATCCCATATCTTTCCCTAATCTGTTTGAAAGTATTCCATGAGGGTTATTTATGTTTAAGCACTATACAAATATAAGCTATAATAATTATTATTAGAGACAACATAGTTGGGTCCAAAGTATTGAAACATGAATGAATTAGATGAAAAATAATTTCTTAATAATATACATTTTTATAAAGTTACATAAGGGAAATGGGATACCAGAAAAGCATTTTACTAAGCTTTAGTGATATTCTTTTAGACAGGACAGATGCTGGGACATTGAATAAAGTCATATTTTTGTGGAGCAAGTGACCTTTAAGACTGTTGATTATTGACTGGATATGGATGTGTGCCTGGATAAAATTCTCTAATTTTGTCATTGAACTTGTCCTAAGTAACATTTTGATTAAATTAAATAAAAAGTCCTTGATTAAAAGTCCCAAGTGACATGCTTATAAAATCTATGGGTGTCACAAAACTAAGACAAAGAACAAATATATGAAGAGAGAAGGAATCAGAATTATCTCAGTAGTCTCCAGTGATGGGTAAAGAGAGGAGTATGTAAAATGAGCAGCATTAGATATAACTGCGACAAAGGGCCACTCACGTTTAGGCTTCAGAAAGACCTCCAAACCCTGCTGCACGAGAGGGAAGGTCTAAGAACTCTTGTTCATTGTTAAGAAGCTTAACATGAACCATCAGTGCGGTATAGGTGATACAAAGACAACAGATATGTTGCTGTTATAGGCTGTTAATACGGTCATATGGTTTAGAATAAGGGAAGAAAAAATCTTACTGTATTCTACCTTGCTCAGAGCAGATGTATAGTATCTTATTTACTAAGGGCTATTAAAATACTAGAAAGTATCTAGAAGGGACTGTTTAGAAATCTTTCTCAGTAAGAAAATGTTGCAATAATGGATATATAACCTGGAGTTTAAGAGGATATCTCTCTTGCTTGCTTTCAAATATTTGAAAGATCATCATGTGGAAAAATGAGCAAAAGATTTACGTCATGCTCCAAAGAACTGTTCCATTACACGTGCCCTCTTAAGGTCTCTGACCAAATAGTAATGACACAGGAAAGGGAGGAAGAAGAGTGTCTTGACCTATAGCCACATGTCTATTAAATTGGCTCAGAACTTATTTATAGAAAACATTAAGTTTTATCAAGAACCCAAACAAGAAAGCTAATCCTACCCTTCTGTGTTCACTGTTAAAGTATCATGTACCTTAAAATACATTATAATGAAGCTAGAATAGGTTCACAAACAGTAATCCAGTGGATTAAGGGAAATGAGAAGCCATCGTATGATCAAGTCCCCAAAACTTGCAATAACATACACAGAATTTGGGTTAACTCCTGGACTGGTGTAAGAACTAAAGTTGAGCCATTAATATCAAGTAAGAAAGCTCATATGGAATTCATTAGCATAAGAAGTGAAATCAGTTAAAAATAAGAATAGTCATGCAAATTTTGTAGATAAATTAATAGACATAGATCTAAAATGAGATTTGAAGGAAGAAGCTGTTCTTGGTAATTTTCTTTGCTTCTTGCACAGATGTCAGAGAGTAACAATGCCTTTTTAAAAATTGTCATTGGATGTCCTCGTTCATTGTGAGAGGACTTGCTTTAACATGGCTTCTTGTGTAAGTGGTGGTTCTCCTCTAGAAAAATACATATTATGTGTGTGTGTGTGTGTGTGATTGTATGTGTGGTGTTTAGATATGTGCATAGGTGTATGCACATGGACATATGACACAAAATTCAGATTAAAGGGAAAACAGCTATCAAAAATGTGGAATATTTACAATTGATTTTATTCCTTTTTCTGTTTCCTTACCATATCATACTAAACTGAAAAGACTTAGTAAATCATCTCACCTGTTTTAACCGAAAATAGCAATTGAATGCAAACACCTTAATCTTAGCAAGTCCTGGAGCCTGCTTTCCCCAGGCTGCACATCCTGTGATGGCTGGAGAGTGGGCTTAGGAAGAGGAGGAATTCAGTTAGTCTGAGTCAATGCCATATGCTAATTTCATTTCCCCCTCTTTTTTAATAACCTTCATGTATTAGTAAATTAGAGTCTGGGGAAAAAAACTCAAAGGCAGCAAATGCTTAGGAGTAACAAAAACACTGTTAAGTTATAACATCTGGACTTCATCACCACAGCCCTGACGTCAGGACGCAGCCCAGATGTTAACTAGAGTAACCATCTAACGTTTGGGTGAATGTGGTCTCTTTTAATTGGCAAAATCCTTTTTCCAAAAATCCTTGAAGACATAACAGCTTAGGGATATAAGCAGTCTACCAAATATTTAGGAGACCTGCTTTAGGGTTATAGGTGTATTCATCTTCTCGGAATGTTGTGGTCATCTCCCTGGAAATCCTTCTCCCTCCTTTCCCCCACCCCAACCCGACCCCCTAAATAAAATTAAAAAAAAAAAGAATAAAGAAAAGAACAAAAAGCACTTGAAAAGAATAGCAACGGGGAAAACTGTGACTATAAAAATGAGAAGTAACTAGTCTTGAGCTTTAAGAGATGTAGGGACACAGGCCAGAACACGCCTCCTACCCACTCAGGGGCCGGCTGCCTTTCCCAGTTGTAGCCTGCAAGGATGAACTTCTGGGTTTCTGTTTTCTATGTGTACCCTTTCACATCTCCAGATCGTTGAAGAACAAGAGAAAATTTATTAGAATGCAGATGGAAACAAACTATAACCTATATCTTTCCACTTTTGATCATTATATTGCATGAATACAATTGATGCCATCTAGATCTTCCACAGTTGCATAATAAACCAAGCTAATGCCACAGGGCTTATCTTTGATGACTGAAATAAAAAGGAACAAAATTTCATTATCTCTATCCTAACCCACCCCCACCCCCAGTTGTCAGATATTATTGGAAACTACTGACTAAAGAATGACAGAAAGATCCAAATCACAGTTAAAAAAAGGATATCTGAGAGTAGGGAAAGGGTATAGATTTCTGACTTACTCAATAGATAAAAGTTTCATGCATAGTACATGTTCCATGTGTTGGTGTGTGATATGATTAAAAATCATTTAGCATTTAACAAAATATTTAGTTTAACAAATACTCAGAAGGCACAATAGTGATGGTTAAGGGCACCGATCCTGGAAATTGGGGATCTGGATTTTAATTCTGACTCCTTGAGTTACTATATGATCTTGGAAGAGTTATTTAAAGTACTCTTTTTTTTTCTTTTTTCTTATTTTTTTTGAGATGGAGTCCCACTCTGTTGCCCAGGCTTGAGTGCAGTGGCGCAATCTCGGCTCACTGCAACCTCTGCCTCCTGGGTTCAAGTGATTCTCCTGCCTCAGCCTCCCCAGTAGCTGGGATTACAGGTGCGTGCCACCACGCCCAGCTAACTTTTTAAGTAGAGATGGGTTTCTGCCATGTTTGCCAGGCTGGTCTCGAACTCCTGACCTCAAGTGATCTGCCCACCTAGGCTTCCCAAAGTGCTGGGATTACAGGCATGAGCCACTGAGCCATGCCTAAGGTACTCTTAAGTGTCAATTTTGTTAATTATCAAATGGGGATAGTAAGACCTATACCTCATTGTAATTTGTGCAAATCAGTAATAAATGTATAAAAGCCTATAGCAGTGTCTGCTATATAAAAGGAACTCCATAAATGACATTATTGTCATTTAAAAGGCAGGGATAAGTCTTGCCCATCTCTGTATCCTCATATCCACTAACTTAAGTACTCAGCAAATAGTTTTTGAATATATGAATGAATGAAATGAATGGAATGAAAGAAAAAAATAGTAAATGAACAGATGTGAGGGTTGAAAACTACAGCTTTCTACTTTAGCCAAGCAAGATGACTCTGGATTTGTTGACCTTGCATGGCCAGCTTTCACTGTCTCTGCACCCTGCACCAGGATTCATGCTGTTCCCTTCTCTCCTACTTCTGCCTGAATTTATTAACCCAATCTCACCCCACCTCTGTCATGATCACTTTCCGTCCAATACCAGTATAGCTTCTTTGTAATGCCCACAGCAGTTACTATCCACGCTCGTCTTTGCAGCAATTGGCAGAGTGCCTAACATATAAGAAGTACTCACTTAATATTTGTTAAATGAAAGAATATTGCCCATTGCCCTTTTTATTGTTTAATGTACCAGTCTTGAAAGCAGGGCCTGTATGCTATATCATTTTGCTACAACACAGTATAGTAATGAACAAATATCTAGGCACATAGCATATTTGGGTTTGAAGAAAATTTAGAGATAACATAATTTAACCCCATCTCTACAGATGAGGAACAAAAAGATGATGTAGATTATTACTGAATTTCCCAAGGTCTCAAGAGCTAGTTGAGACCCAGACTAAGGTTTACAAGGTAGACTTCTGGGCTCATGATTTTCAATTGAATGAATGAAATAAATATATGGCCAAAAAAATCCTAAAGGAGGTTGATAAGTTATTAAATGTACAGTAGTTGTTACTACGTAACTCAAGCTTTCAAACTTTCTAGGAACTCAAACAAGGTTTTACATAGACTAAATTATTGCAAGAACAATGACTTTTCTTGTCACTGATTTTTAAAGTGGTTGAACTAGTTATTGACCCAGCAATCCCATTCCTGGGTATATACCCAAAGGATTATAAATCATTCTACTATAAAGACACACGCACACGTATGTTTATTGCAACACTATTCACAATAGCAAAGACTTGGAACCAACTCAAATGTCCATCAGTGATAGACTGGATAAAGAAAATGTGGCACATATACACCATGGAATATACTATGCAGCCATAAAAAGGAATGAGTTCATGTCCTTTGCAGGGACATGAATGAAGCTGGAAACCATCATTCTCAGCAAACTAACACAGGAACAGAAAACCAAACACTGCATATTCTCACTCATAAGTGGGAGTTGAACAATGAGAACACATGGACACAGGGAGGGGAACATCACACACTGGGGCCTGTTGGCGGGTGGGGGCAAGGGAAGGGAGAGCATTAAGACAAATACCTAAGGCATGCAGATCTTAAACCCTAGATGATGGGTTGATGGGTGCAGCAAACCACCATGGCACGTGTATACCTATGTAACAAACCTGTAAGTTCTGCACATGTATCCCAGAACTTAAAAAAAAAAAAAAAAAAAAGGCAGAGGCAGGATCTTGGGAGATACGCAGAACTGCCTTGGAGTAATTGTAACTACCAGTACATACTATTAGTGTGCTGAGTGAAGGCTATTCTTTATATGCATTTTGCAGCCTCTGACCCTCTTTTTTATTTGCAATCTGTGCACTGTCTTGTTTTTATTGGAAGATATGATCGAGACCAAGTTCCACCCTAAACTTCTGTAGCACTGCAATCAGGATGCCACAAATAGTTGTCCATGGTGGTCATGACTTGTGTCACAAAATCATGTTCTTTACTAGAATTTCACACAGTTCCCGGGACTACATATGCTTATCATAAAAAAAAAAGGCATTTGAAACCAACCTGGGCAACATAATGAGACCCTGTCTCTACAAAAAAGTTAAAAAATCAGCTGAGCAAGGTGGTGCATACCTGTAGTCCTAGCTACTCAGGAGGCTGATTTAGGTGGATCACTTGAGCCCCAGGGTTCAAGACTACAGTGAGCCATGATCATACCACTGCACAGTAGCCTGGGTGACAGAGCAATACCCTGTCTCAGGAAAAAAAAAAAAAAAAAAAGCAACAATTCTGACATGTGCATTGAACAAGTGAATATCACTATAGCTATTGGTAGAGATGATCTTGACCAATATAATCTATTTTATACGTGTCAGTCATCATGAGAATGTATGAGCTGATTAAAATGCAGATTCTCGACTAATAAAATGTTTGCTGTATTCAACATTAAAAATTATTTAGTGGAATTTCCTGATTACATCAAGAGTGCTAACTCTACTCAGAATATGATGTTGACTTTGTTTATGTCAACTACGGAAAAGAAGAAAAAAAAAAAAACCATAAACACAATAAAGTCTGTGGGAAACCAGCATGCTGAAGGTAGAATGTTCTAATCCTAACCAGCTGTCCTTGCTGGAGTGCATGGGAACTTCATAGCAATCTCTCTCTCTGTCTCATAACATCTTTAGTCAGGAGCAAGCTTTGTATGCATTTTATCAAAGCAATGAAAAAGCTGTTTTCTAGCTAGAAAAGTGCCTAGGAAATTATAAGCGGGAAGTCATCAAAAGCCAACTTGAAATAAAATACATGTAAGTACCAACAGCGGACTTCTCCAAGGCTATAAAGTAGCAAGGAGCCACAATTAAGTAACTACTTAAACACAGCAAGTTTCAATCCTTGTAGTGTTTTAGAGTGGCTGCTATCTCAACTTGAATCACCCAGCAAATCACAAGTGCAAGGGTAAGAGAAACAAAACATTCCAGTCCCTGAAGATTAACAGTCTAAGCGTCACACTCGGAACTCTTCAGATCTTTCAAATACCCCCTCCTTCACATTCTTCTTTAGGGACTGACAAATTGTAAATCCTCGACTTCACTAAGGAAACTGCGGCTTTACTCTGAATCTCTTGAAGTAATAGATCAACAGAATACAGAGAAGTACAGGAAAGTAATCATATTTTTACTATTTGTTTAAGAATAGGCTCTGAAAAACATAGGAAGATAGGAGAGAATTTAGATTTTTGTTTCTAAAAATAGTTACCCATATATATTCCCATTTACTTATAATATCTGCTTCCTGATTTTCACTTAAACCCTCTAAGGTTACAAGAACACAATGGACTTTGGATTGGGGGGAATTAAGCTCACATCCACATTTAAGTTCTTACTGGTCATGTGACTTTTAACCAGTTACCTATTATTTTGAGCTTGAGTTTTCTCTTTTGTAATTGCGGAAGATGAAATCTGCTGTAAGTTGGTTGTTGCAGTACTTCAAAGTATCAATGGCCTATGTAGCCTGTGGAACATAGTATGTCCTACATGAAGATTAGTTTCTATCTTTCTATTTCATTTCCTGTTTGTACGGGGGTCTGTTATTTCTCATATGGGTGGGAGACTGTCTGGAGCTAGACTCTAGAATACTCAATTTCATTTTCAAGTAAGAAAACAGAGAGAAAATTAGGCCGGGCGCGGTGGCTCACGCCTGTAATCCCAGCACTTTGGGAGGCCGAGGCGGGTGGATCACGAGGTCAGGAGATCGAGACCATCCTGGCTAACACGGTGAAACCCCATCTCTACTAAAAATACAAAAAATTAGCCGTGCGTGGTGGCGGGCGCCTGTACTCCCAGCTACTCTGGAGGCTGAGGCAGGAGAATGGCGTGAACCCGGGAGGCGGAGGTTGCAGTGAGCCGAGATCACACCATTGCACTCCAGCCTGGGCAACGCAGTGAAACTCCGTCTCAAGAAAAAAAAAAAAAAAAAAAAGAGAAAATCAAAAGATTAAAAATTACAATTATGAAATACCCACTCCATCACTCCAGTGGCACCTGACATGAAAAATAAATGCAAAAGGACTTGGCCGCCCCAAGGCCATCCAACACAATAAATTATAAATGCAAAATTTCCCACAGACTATCCAGTGCTGTGAATCATAATGAACCACAGTGATTTGAATTTTAATCACTTAAAATTTTACACGATCTTAATTTTACAGATTTTACAAAAACACCCGGACAGAGTGCTAAGGCTCCCTTAGGGCCTTGGAAGAGTCAATGCAAATGATAGATCCTGAAAGTTCATCAGCTGTATGATAAATCCACCTGTCTATGGGGTGTGAGGAAGAAGAGCTTTATTATTAACATTTTTTTTTACAATAAAGATACTACAGTCTTTTATATTTTCACAGCTTCTCCAAATCTGTCTTATTTCCTTCATTTCTTTTCCACCTGCCCTACTTAAATTGTAGGCTTGGTTCTTCTGAGAAATGTAGACTTGTTTCATCTGAGAAAGCAATAGAAATGTTGGCTTATTTGAACTGGTGTGTGTTATGCAGCCTGAAAAAAAACAACACTGGTAGCTATGAGGGTGCATACCAGCACTATATACAAGTACAACAGATGGGTTTTTTTTTTTCTGTTTAAGTGTATTCCTATCTACTTAGGTGAAGAAGGCTAAAATATGAAATAGCAGCCAAAAATAGAAATAAAAATAAGCATGTAATTACAAACTTAAAAAAATCAGTAAGTGCTATAAGACTTCAGATGAAATGGACATCAGTAAAGGTTGAGATTGTTCTAGACATTACAAGAGCAGGAGAAATGAAAAGCAGAAGGAATTTGGATGAAGGGGATCATGGTACATTTGTTAAAGAAAACACACAAACAGCAGAGGAGGAATGAACACAGTGCTTTAGCGGAACAGCAAGGAGACAGGAATGGCTAAATAGAACCTTTCCAGATAACAGAAAATCTTCCCAAGCAGGTAGAGGTGCTTTGGTTTGATATGCCTGGAAATTGCATGATCTTGATCGTTTCTGAGCAAAAACAGTGAAACAGTGAAGAGGGCAGTGGAATGAATGATGGATTGAAGTGGAAGATGTTAAGGTCATAGAGACAAGCTCAGAAGATCCTAACTTTAGGTAAGAATGATGGCAGTTTGTGCCTTCACAGTGGTTGTAGAACTAAAAAGGAAAGGCAGACGCAGAGACACACAGAAGGTGGACAGGACAGGATTTTGTGATTAACTTCACATGAGGCATGAAGGAGAGGTAAGGCCACCTGTAGAAGATGAATGGATAGGAAAGAATAGATAATGAAGTTAATTGTGGAGATAATGAAGTTAATTCCATTTTAATGTGAAGTTGCATGATACCCATCTACTGGAAAATGTCCAATAGACAGTTGGAAATATAGAAATAGAGTTTAAAGGTGAGGATAGGACAAGATAGGAGGAAAGAAAAAGAAAGGAAGGAAGAAATATCCAACTGATGCTGGAAGGATAAAAGTGTAACTATTATATCATTTATATATATGGTACTTTGAGTTTCAGCAATTAGCAACATAGAAGAAAGAACATAATTTAGAGATAGCTTAAGAAAAAAATGTATGTGATACATAAGGGAGGGGTAACTGATTCAAATAGCTTCTGGGTATTTTGATTGATTCAGAAAAAATGTGAGATAGATGCTTTGCCTCAAATTCCCAATATCTATTTTATCTTTTAGTTGGTTCTCTAGAAGGTGTGCTTGCATAATTTACCATATAATGTTAATATATGTATTCTTGCATTTGGCAATCTGTGTGTATGCCTTTTGGTTTATATACATGTCCGTTGATTAAGTCATTCAACAAAGACTAATGTGTCAGGCACGTTTCTAAGCACTAGGAATATGAAGATGCACAATTACTAAGTTCCTGGCCTCACAGGGGAACTTACATTCTGAAAGGACAGAGAGACACTAAACAAACACATGTAACATGCCAGAAGTGGATCGCAATTGGTTCAGAGGAGAATGCCATTTTAATAGAGTGGTCCTGACTGGCCTCTCAGTAGAGGTAACATTTCAGCAGAGACCTGGACAAAGTAAGGGAGAGAGCCATGTGACTGTCTGGGAAAAGAATTTTTCAAGATGAGGGAACAGCAATTGTCATGAACAGCAAAGAGGCCAGAGTGTATAGAATGGGAAAGGATAGAAGAAGGTGAAGTGGGAAGAGTAGGTAGGCCCCAGGTCAGGCAGAGACTTCTTGGCCATAGAAGGGATTTTATTGTGTGAGGGAAAGATATTGGAGGGTTTTGAGTTGAGGAGTGACAGGATATAGTTTATGTTTATAAATATCACTCTGGTCGTCATGTTTGGAATGAATTACAGGAGGTGGGGCAAGGGTGGAGGTGGGGAGGCCAGTTGAGGAGTGACTGTAAGAACACAGGTGCGAGGCAACCGTGTCTTGGCCCAGGGTGGTGGCAGTGAGGGTGGTGCCAAGTGGTCAGCGTCTAGATGCATTTGCAGGTACAGATGATAGGATTGGCTGATGGAAGAAATGTAGGGTATGAAAGAAGAGAGGAGACAAAACTAACTGCTGTGAATGGAGATGAAAAAGACAAGTTTTGTTGGAAAGACAAAAAGCTCAATTTTTGACATGTTATGTGATTTGGAGCAAGATACTTAAACTTTCAGGACATGTTTCAGCATTTGTAAAACAAGGATGATAACAGAATCTACTTCACAGAGTTATTAAGCATTAAATAATAATTCAGGAAAAGCTCTAAGCATTGAATGTGTCTAATAGGTGTTTAGCTTAGATATGAAGAAGTTGAGGCAAAATGTCAATCTCACCTTCTTTCTGAGTCTCAAAAAAATCAGCTTAAAAACCCTTGTTATATTTTCTTCTTTGACCCCTCTCTTGGGGTAAGAGTGCTACTGTGTAGTAAGGGACAGTGTGAGTTCTAAATGTCACATTATGGTGTGTGCTAAAAATAAAATAATTTCTGTATTGGTTGTGACTGAATATGTAAATGAAGGACACAAATGGGGTAATTATTAGAGAGAAGTTCTAACTGAACTTAGGAGACTTAAAAAAAAGATAGGGGTTTATATTTTGAAGAAGAGAACAATTTTAAAGACTTGCTCAAGGGGAACATATTTCATAAGAAATGATAAAAGCCATTAAAATTAGGAGGAAAATTGATAATCACGTGATCCTAAGGAAAACTCTCAATTTTTTTTTTTTTACGAAGTTTGACTTGTGTCCTTCTGGACTTGACATTCTAAAGCAATGATACATGGACAACTTAGTAAAATGAAAAGAGGTCATTTAACTAAGAAAATCTCAAATTCACCAATATTGCCAGGAAACTATGTGGAGTTGATTGAACCATATTTTTATCTTTTGTTTATTTTTATTTAGAGATGAGGCCTTGTCCTGGCACTCAGGCAGGAGTGCAGTGGCACAATCATAACTCACTTGCAGCCTTGAGCTCCTGGGCTCAAGTGATCTTCCTGCCTCGGCCTCCCAAGGTGCTGGGATTACAGGCATGAGCCACTGCGCCTGGATCATGAACCACCATTTTTAAGATAACATTCAAACATAATGAAGTGTATTGCTCCTAACTTACCAATATGATCAGAAGAAAGACTACTTGATGGATGACGAATGCAAGTACAGAGGTCATCATCTCCACAGGCAGTAGTTTGAACTTCAAAACAGAATAACCATCACTAGTTATGAATCTCTCTTAGTAGATGCTGAGATAGAGACACTGGATTTTAACATGCATATCATTCTAAGACATGATGGTTTGCTTATAGAAGACATTTTAAAAATGAAGTGTTACTAGTGCATTTAATAGAGTAGAATAAAAATATATATTCTATGTTGATTTTGGCAAATTAATGCTTCCTCCACTTGATAATTTATCCAATATTTGGGGAAAGGATTGCTTTTTCAATGACATTCAAGTAGTGGGTCCCTACAGCAGGTTTGTCCACTTGTTCAAGGGAATCTTTGGTCTCCGTGGAAGCCTGCAAGAGTTTTTTGGGAGGGAGGAAATATTGTGTTAGGTATTATTATCAGTGTTACTTAATATAAGTTACTGTGAAGTGGTTATCTCTGAATTACATTTTTTTCTTTTTCTAATTCTCAGATGGTCGCTCTTTCCATTTCCTATCCTCAGCACCTACCTCAGCTGTGTTTATACCCAAGTAATGAACTTTATGTTATTATCATCTTTAAATAGACACTTAGTTACATTTTAGCTTGATCTGTATAAGAAACCACAGTAAGATAAGAGAAATATTACTTATTACTTACTTGTGTTTCATTTCAAACTTTATTCATCAGTCTTTGCTGAATTCAGTTAGTAATTCAAAAACTATTCGTCATATATTTATATATGATATATAATACAAATTTATATCTGTACATATGTGTTTATAAATATATATGTGCATGTATATATAAATTTATATGTATATATAATAGATAAAAATATGTAAACTTGACTTTGTTAATATCTTATTCATACCATTTTTATTTTTATGTTTTTTTAAAGAAAATGTTCTACCACTTTTACAGCATTTGAAAAATTATTTTTTCTATAATGATTAGCATTCTAATATACCATTGGTGGATGTGTAATATATGTTGAACTTTGGCCATATAAGATGTACATATCTTAGACTATGAAATTCCATCTTTAGATGAGTTACTCTACCACAGAAAAATTTCTACCCATGTGCGCACAGAGACATTGACAATAATATTCATAACAGCAAATACTTATGTAAGCACATAGTTGGAAACAACATAGATGCCTTTCAACAGGATAATGAATAAGTAAATTAGGGCATATTTGTATGACAGCAATAAGAATAAGAAGCTTTTTATTTATTTATTTATTTATTTATTTATTTATTGAGACAGAGTCTTGCTCTGTCACCCAGGCTGGAGTGCAGTAGCACCATCTTGGCTCACTGCAACCTCTCCCTCCCGGGTTCAAGCGATTCTGCTACCTCAGCCTCCCGAGTAGATGGGATTACAGGCAGCAGTCACCATACCTGGCTAATTTTTTTTTGTATTTTTAGTAGAGACAGGGTTTCACCATGTTGCCCAGGCTGGTGTCGAACTCCTGACCTCAGGTCATCCACCTACCTCGGCCTCCCACAGTGCTGGGATTACGGGTGTCAGCTACTGTGCCCAGCCCAGAATAAGGAACTTTATGTTCAAACACGAATAATATCAAAAATATAATTCTGAGCAAAGACAGCTGCAGAAAGATATTTGCAGTATGGTGCCACTTAAAACTTTTAAATGTGCAAAATAATATTGTTTGGGGACACTTAAATGTGTAACGAGTATAAAGCCAGTATGAGAGTGATTAAACTCTAAGTTCAGGACTGGAGAACTTCAGGGGGAGCGGGAGAGGAGGGAAGGAGGGAAATATGACCCAGGAGGGGCACACACGGGGCTGTAACAGCAACTGCAATGTTTTATTACTTAAGTTAGTGGTAGATACATGAGAATCTTGGATGTTTAAAATATTTAGTAAAATAATCTTGGTATTAGTTAATTGATAAACCATCTAAAGATATTTTTTGAGAAAAGATTTTTGGGAAGCAAAGATAACAATTCCAAGTGTTAACCAAATGATATTGAAACAAAAAACAATGAGTATGTTATGAAAACAGCAACTTAAGCCACATGAGACACTGGGATTACATGTCCCGGGATACAACTGCATGGCCCATTAACTACAGCAACATCACCTTCACTTTACAAAAGCAATTAGTACATACTTCAGTCTTCAAAGTGAACAGAGATTACCTACTCTTCAAAAGTTATTAAAAGCACTTGGCTTCTGACCTTCAGAGCTCAATTTGTACAAGGGTATGGGTCAGCTTTTTCCTATAGTAATAAAAGTTGTCAAATGCTATTTTCCTAAGCTCCATTTAAACACAGAGACATTACTTAATGTGGTTTAAAAACATAGACTTTATTTTGAGACAAGGGGATAGCTTAAATTATGGTCTTTTATTAATTCACTGAAATATTTTTAAGTTTGAATAGGGAGAGAAATATGGAACAGGGCGAAGAAAGCATTTACACACAAGGACAAATTATACATTATGAGCTGACTACACTCAATATCTTACTTTAAATAAAAAATGGTAAAGAAAAATAGTAGGCAATCACAAAAGAAGTTTGAGAGTGGGAGTATGTGTGGGTAGGTGGTAGAGATTAATGAGCATGGAAGGCCGCGAAGGTTCACTCAGAAAATACTTTATGCAGCAAAGTGGGAGTCATGCTCAGGGTCACAGAAATAAAAACATTTTCTGTGAACTGGCCTCACAAGAATGAGAGCTCGGAATGTGTGTGGTAGTGGCTGAGAAAGTGGGTGTCCAGTTTTGATCCATTTGTCATAGTCTCCAAGACAGCATGAGGCCGTTTACCATCATCTTCCTGCAAATGTCCTTCATAGGCTGTGGGTTTTTTTTCCTTCCCTTCTTCCTTCTCTTCTTCCTTCCTTCCTCTCCTCTCCTCTTCTCTCCCCTCTCCTCCCCTCCCCTTCCCTCCTTTCCTTTCCTCCCTCCCTCATTCCTTCCTTCCTTGTTAAATGTTTTAATTTAAATTAATTTTTCCATCTTCCAGTTTATTAACACTTGGCTATGATATGCTAATCCTTCGGGTATGCACAGGGTGGTTGGTCACAGAATGTTGTTATTGTCTAAAATAGTGCAAAGGGCATTTACAATGGATTTTCAGGCACTGCTTTGACATAATTATTCTGCTGTTTACCCTCTATGTTTATCTTCAGTTGTGCAATGATTATGCGGAGCCAAAGAGCTTTGCTGGAAACATAGTCTTAAGTTCTAAGTCATCAATTTATACACATAATCACTGAAGGACTAAAGGAAACTTTTCTCTGTCTTCCTTTCTTTCTTTAGCAAACAAAAAAAGGAAGAAAAAAAATACTAAGCAGTAACTCTTGTACATAAATTGGAATTAATTGCTGAATGCATATTTTATAAACTTATGATATTCTAATTATAAAATTTCCAGTGTTAGTGCCATGACATAGATGTGTGTTCCATCTACAAGGGAAGCATTCTGGGTTGTGATGTTATCATCCACATTCTCTTACCTGGTACTCATGGCTCTGGGCATGTTTTGTATGTTGTTTGGTTGGAGGGGCTTGGTAGCCCCAACATAAAGAAAAAGGCCTAGTTTCTCCCTTTGTCTCAGGAGCACATTACTCTATCCTGGGAAGTTCTGGCTGTTAAGAAAGCTCTTTGGGTTGGGCGTGGTGGTTCACACCTGTAATTCCAGCACTTTGGGAGGCTGAGGCAGGAGGATCATTTGAGGTCAGGAGTTCGAGACCAGCCTGGCCAACATGGTGAAACCCCATCTCTACTAAAAATACAAAAATAAGCTGGATATGGTGGCAGGTGCCTGTAGTCCCAGCTACTCGGGAGGCTGAGGCACAAGAATCACTTGAATCTGGAAGGCAGAAGTTGCTGTGAGCTGAGATCCTGCCACTGCACTCCAGCCTGGGCAATAGAGAAAGACTTAGTATTAAAAAAACAAAACAAAACAAAACAAAAAAAGAGAAAGCCCTTTGCATGGTTCTAATACAACAAAAAACTGTTAGAAACTGAAATAAAATTTAGAAGGCCTGATAATAACATTAGAAGGCCTGATAACTAATGCCCGTGTGCTTTGGGTTTGGCTTCATCGCCAGTCTTCCTCATCTTCATTGGTTTACCAACCCATTTGTCCAGCCATGAGCTGCACATGAGTTGGTCTTCCTCATCTTCATTGGTTTACCAACTCATTTGTCCAGCCACGAGCTACACATGAGTTGACATGCACGTGCTAATTTCATTTGGCTGGAATTCACTAAATGAAATTCTAGCTTCTTGTAACAGCACAAAAGAAAGATGTTTCCAGTGCAGCCTGAAATTACATGTTCAAACTTGTTTTCGTCAGTGAAACATTAGTGTCCAAAGACGGTCTTATCAGAGCTGAAAAACAATATGCTTGATGGCATACTTTTAGACCTGAAATGGGCTTCATTTTGCAAAAAAGTTATATTTTAAATATAGCATATTCTAAAGGTAGATTAGGAATGTTCTTACTCATCTAGTTTAGCTTTTTTTTTTTTCTGCCAGATGTTTATGTTGGTGAGAAACCAATAACACTGTCTAGACCTCTAGGATATAGTAATCAACCATGAATGAAAAACATTCAGAGGTCACACTTCAATCTGGACCTACAACATCCTGCTATTCAAAACTAGATTAGAGATGATGGATCATGATAAACTGAACCACACTGAATGCTGAGTCAGTAATTTGAGAATTGTCTACAAAAAGCTAAATATGTCACCAAAAATCAACCAGATAAAACAAAGTCTAGACACCATAAAATGTACTGTTCCCCCCACTGCATAGTGTCAACAATCAGATGTTATATTATGACTTTTACACCAGCAACCTATAACTCAGGAATCTTCAATCTTTTATAAAGAAAAGTTCTTTGAAGTCATGTGATTCCTGAGGAGTGTGTGTGTGTGTGTGTGTGTGTGTGTGTGTGTGTGTGTGTGCAATTGCCTAGATGTGCTCATTACCTGAGCACATAAAGAAAGAAAGAACCAAGAGAGAAGGGTTACATTATGGTATCAGGGCTTTCAAAAATCACCAACCAGGATTTCACCAAGCAATAATATGCCATGTCTTTTCACTATGTCTTGGTGATTTTGATTGTCTAGAAGTTGATAATTTGTTTTTATTAAGAGTGTTTCTGTTGTTGGCTGAAATTCTGTGGAATCAACAATGACTTAGGACAATGTGTTTCAGTTCTACAGCCCATATGTGCTAAACTCTGAGGGTAATCTATGTGTAAATTGAAATATTTAAAGTATAACTTCCAATTTTAGTTCATTCTGATTTCTAAATCAGTTGAGATCACTCTATCTTAAATAGTGGCATATTTTAGGCTTTAGTACTTTTAAACTTTGAAAACAAGTCAGTATGTCATTTTAAAAAATATGATTAAAAATACAACCTTATAGCACTTTGGAATGACAAGTCTTTTTGTCTTATAAAGAGGAGAATGGCCAGTTCATTAAGGATGATGCACTAACTTGCCTGACTCTGTTTGTTTTAGAGAGAGGCTCATACTGTTGTCCAGGTTGGAGTGCAGTGGCGCGATCTCGGCTCACTGCAAGCTCCGCCTCCCAGGTTCACGCCATTCTCCTGCCTCAGTCTCCCGAGTAGCTGGGACTACAGGCGCGCAGCCTCAAACACCTGGGCTCAAGTAACCCTCCCACCTCAGCTTCCCGAGTATTTGGGGCTACAGGTGCATGCCACCGTAGCTGCCTAATTTTTAAATTATTTGTAATGACGGAGTCTTGCTATGTTGCCCAGGTGTCTTGAACTCATGGCTTCAAGTGATCCTTCCACCTTGGTCTCCAAAAGTGCTGGGATTACAGGTATAAGCCACCTGGCCCAGCCTTGTTTGCAGAGAGAATTTCCCTTGGCTCTATGGGGGCATCCAGAAATTCTGACTTCTTTTTGTGTGTTTATAGGATACTCTTGGCTCCATGAGGGGAAGTGGGGCCTATAAGTATCTTCAGGTAAATTTAAACCCGTGTTTCTCAACCTTTGTACTCATGTTCTACCCCTCCCATCTGTGCTTCCTTCCTTTTTTTTTTTTTTTTTTTTGAGATGGAGTCTCACTCTGTGGCCCAGGCTAGAGTGCAGTGGCGTGATCTCGGCTCACTGCAAGCTCCGCCTCCCGGGTTCACGCCATTCTCCTGCCTCAGCCTCCGAGTAGCTGGGACTAAAGGCACCCGCCACCACGCCTGGCTAATTTTTTGTATTTTTAGTAGAGACGGGGTTTCACTGTGTTAGCCAGAATGGTCTCAATCTCCTGACCTCGTGATCTGCCCGCCTCAGCCTTCCAAAGTGCTGGGATTACAGGTGTGAGCCACCGCTCCCGGCCTCATTCATATTCTAAGAAAGCACATGCCTTGTCTTTGGCTGTGCCTAAGAAGAGTAAAAGCAGTACTATAGTCGTGAGTTTGACAATTATGGGGCTGAATAACTGTTGTTTTCCATGGCTAGGTCTTCATCAATAACTACAGCTTCAGAAATGTTAGTGGTTGTCCTTGAGCTACAGGGAAGAGCACAGAGGGATCAATGGAAATCCATCATCATCACACACAAACAACTCCAGCACATGCCAACTGAATGGCATTTCCTCTTTCTTCAAGAGTGACAAGCTGGGCACAGTGGCTTGTGCCTGTAGTCCCAGCTGGGAGGATCACTTGAGGACAGCAGTTTGAGACCACCCTGGGTGACAGAGCAAGACCCTACCTCTACAAAAATCAAAAAATTAGCCACAACCCTATAGTCCTGGCTGCTGAGGGGAGGCTGAGGCAGGAAGATTGCTGAGTTCAGGAGTTCAAGGCTGCATTGAGCTATGATGATACTACTGCACTCCAACCTGGGAAACAAAGCAAAACTCTGTCAAAAAAAAAAAAAAAAAAAAAAAAGACACATTATAATTAAAACTAAGTAATTAGAATAAGAAATTTAAAAACATGGCCAGGCGCAGTGGCCCGTGCCTGTAATCCCAGCATTTTGGGAGGCTGAAGCAGGCGGATCACGAGGTCGGGAGATCAAGACCATCCTGGCTAACACGGTGAAACCCCGTCTCTACTAAAAATACAAAAAAAAAAAAAAAATTAGGTGGGCATGGTGGCGGGCGCCTGTAGTCCCAGCTACTCAGGAGGAGAATGGTGTGAACCCGGGAGGTGGAGCTTGCAGTGAGCTAAGATCGTGCCACTGCACTCCAGCCTGGGCGACAGAGAGAGACTCCGTCTCAAAAAAAAAAAAAAAAGAAATTAAAAAACTTTCAAGTTTAACTGCCAACTATACCTAAATAATTCATTTGAAATAGAGAACTTCCAGAGGAATGTTCTTTTAAATCCAGTCTTTGCTTTATGAGATAGCCTCAGATCCTTAAGTAGATGTGTGACAAATTAATATGACCCTCCTACCAGGCCTTCGATTTTGGACATATCTAGGTATTGTAATTACAGTGGCCTTTGGTAAAATGTGCAGACTGTGCATGCACACTACTTTAAATAAAGAAAGTCACAGAAGTCTTGTTGCAGAAAGGGAGGTGTGCGAAACATCCCTTTCAAGTGGCAGCCTTGACATTTAGCATATTTTTTCCCATACCACAGCTGAGCCACGTGCTTGAAAGCCCAGGCCTGCTGGTGCTGCTGCTCTTTTCCATGTTTGGCTCCATCTATACAGCAATTTTCAAAGCAGGTCCCAACGTGCTTAGGAAAACTTTCAGATATCGTATATCTAGCTTGACAAGCTCATATGCAAGAACCGATTCCCTCATCAATGTGTGGAATCAGTTATTCTCCAGTCATTTCCTTTTGGAGTTCACAAAGATCAGCACAAAAGTCACCTCCAGTAGATCCTTCTTTGTTTCTCTCCAGAGATACAGAAATCTATTCCATTTGCCATTGACATTTTACCTTTTCTTTTCTTTTTTTTTGGACTGGTTGAACCACTTTTGCCCAAAAGCCCAAAGCCAATTATAGAGGTGTCATGCTAACAAGGTGAAGGCCCTCAGGAAGTAGGGTATCAAGAACTGAAACTGAAGGAATGCTTAGTATATGTCAATGACTCTCTAAGCACTTTGCAGAGTAGCTCATTTAATCCTTAAAACCATTTCATGACGTAGGTGCTGTTATCCTCTTTGTATTGGCAAGGAATGCTGACTTGCCTAATATTACCCAGTGCAAGAACCAGGACTCAGCCACAGGCAGCCTGAGGTTGCAGGTCAACTCTCTAAGCCACTATATAATATATTCTCTCATCAAAGCCACCCTTGACATCAACATGTTCCTCTTTTTATCAAAACAGTATCATTTAACTTAATCTAGATACATGTTCACATTGCAATATCTCACGAAGCTTCCCTAACGGTTGTCTGTCTTTAAAAATCTCCTCTGGTGTTGCCTATGATTGGAAAAGTGTTTGTTTACTAGAGGAGGCTGCATATTTTGAGGCCTACATCACTCATGGTTAAAAGGCATTACATATGCCCTTACTTGCTTTTCACTGTGAACCAAAGGAGCAGAGAACAGTTCACAGGAGTCAATGTTTTTGGTTGCCCTTCCTTGGAAGTGGGCCAGAATTCCCAATGCCCCACTGAAGTGAGAGCCAATGTACCACAGAGTGTGTCCAGCACTCATTTTGCTAGTGAATTGGAGGACTCATCAGCTGCAATGTAAAAATCTATTTTGCAAAAGACATATGATCCTGAACACTCCGCAAAATACCTCAGGGGATTTCAACTTAATGTAGTTACTTGAAGAATTTATTTTATGTCTGTTGACTCTCACTTGCATAGAGGTTTGCCTAAATTTTCTTGCCCTCTTCATAGGCAATTCAGTTTTTTCTTCTTTCTCTTAAATATTTTTGTTTGTTTTTACTTTCCTTTTTAGAAGATGAGGTCTTGCTATGTCATTCAAGCTGGAGTGCAGTGGCATGATCATAGCTCACTGTAACTTTGAACTCCTGGGCTCAAGTGATTCTCCTGACTCAGCTCCTGGGACTACAGATGGTCACCACCACGCCTGGCTAAATTTTTAAATTTTTTGGAGAGACAAGGTCTTGCTCTGTTACCCAGGCTGGTCTTGGGTTCCAGGCCTCAAGCAGTCCTCCTGCTGGGCTTCCAAATTGTTGGGATTACAGGCGTGAGCCACTGTACCCAGGCTCTTAAATGTTTAGCTATGGGAATAATGTGACGTCACATATCTCAATCAGGTGGAGGCATTTAGACTTTTTCCCTTATATGTCATGTTCTCCAAATTGAGAGAAGAAATCCCTTCTTTTAAAAAGTCAATGTCATTGATACTATTTAGTAGGTCTTACTTTATAAGATGTTGTTAAATAAAGACTAGTATTGGCCAGGCCCAGTGGCTCATGCCTGTAATCTCGGCAATTTGCGAGGCCAAAGTGGGTGGATCATTTGAAGTTAGGAGTTCAAGACCAGCCTGGCCAACATGGTGAAACCCTGCCTCTACTAAAAATACAAAAATTAGCCAGGCGAGGTGGTGGTTGCCTGTAATCCCAGCTACTCGAGAGGCTGGGAATCTCTTGAACCAGGGAGGTGGAGGTTGCAGTGAGCGGAGATCATGCCACTGCACTCCAGCCTGGGCGACAGAGTGAAACTCTGTCTCAGCAAACAAACAAACAAACAAACAAAAAAGACTAGTATTTAATTTCTTTCAGCTTATTTCTTTCAGCACAACTTAACGTTTTTAGTTGAGTTAAATTACAACAGTGTGCACACAATACCTTTAAAAATAGCTTTTAACTGGCTGGGTGCGGTGGCTCATGCCTGTAATCCCAGCACTTTGGGAGGCCGAGGCAGTCGGATCACGAGGTCAAGAGATCGAGACCATCCTGGCTAACACGGTGAAACCCCGTCTCTACTAAAAATACAAAAAATAGAAAAAAAAAATTAGCTGGGCGTGGTGGTGGGCGCCTGTAGTCCCAGCTGCTCGGGAGGCTGAGGCAAGAGAATGGCGTCAACCCAGGAGGCAGAGCTTAAAGTGAGCCGAGATCGCGCCACTGCATTCCAACCTGGGTGACAGAGCGAGACTCCGTCTCAAAACAAAAAACAAAACAAACAAACAAAAATAGCTTTTAACTTATACTCACTTCTCCATATTTTAAAGGCATTATCCTTTTATGTAATTCATTCACGGTATACTAGTACATCATAATTTTATGTTTTGAATACTTTGATAACTGTATTTCACTATCATTGGTTTCCTCTATAATTCTATATATTTTATTTATGCATTTAAAAAGATTATTCTGAGAAGTGATCCATAGGTTTCACAGGAATGATAAAGAGATCCGTGGGCACAAAAGCAGGCTACAAGGCCCTCTATGGAAGGATTAAGAGGCAACTGCCCTTCAGGAATGTGATGTGCTCTGCTGACCAGATGTCCATGAATCAAAGGGGAGGGGGTGAGAGCACAGAGGAGCTTTAAGAAGGAAGCACACTTCATCCAGCACAAAGCTGTCCCCTGCATCACTCAACCACTGTCATCCTCAAAGTTCTAGTTCACTGAAAACTCAATACCATCCTCTGCTTTTAGCAAAGAAGACAGAGTACCTTGGGGTTGGGAATAATGGTTGTAGAAGATAGGATTAACAGAAACTCCTGTGGGATGTAACTGGGCAGAAAAAGGGGATCATATATAAAGGGGAATGCAAGTAAGACAATCTGATCTGTCCTTCCTCACAAACTGAAGGCCTTTTCCTGGCAACAATTCTGTATATTGTTTATAAAAGGCTGCAGATGCTTAAAAATAACAGACAGGCTCCCTGTTTCGTGTAGAAGGGAGTTTAAGACAAGGAGATGTAAATGATGCTTTTTGTACATGATATCATTTGGGATAGCAGAACTGTGCCTGTGTGTGTGTGTGTGTGTGTGTGTGTGTGTGTGTGTGTGTGTAAGGGGGAAGGGGGGAGGGAGGGAGACAGGGAGGGAGGGAGCAAGAGAGAGAGAGAGAATGAATAAGAATATACCTAACAAGGAAACTTAAAATGTTATCCCACGACCAAACCCTTTGATTAGGTGAAAGAAACTAAAATCTCAGATTAGTTTTTGAGAAACCTGATGAAAGTCAGGAAGGCAATAATCATCACCGAAATAACATTCTAGCTACTATTAACAGAAGTATTCTCTTCCAGAGACTTAAAAAACACTTTTTACCTGTTACCTCATTAATTTCACAACATAAAGAAAAGGGTTTGGACTTTCTACTGCCCTCCATTCTGCACACGAAGGCAAGGTGGTAGGACATATAACAAAGATTTTCTCTGGTGTTCAGAGAAGTGACTTTTTGTGGATCATTAGCAGCCATTAGTTCATGTTTGGTGAGTGGAAGGGTTGAGTGCAGAGGAGAAGCTTGAGGGAAAGGGATGGAAGCAAGTGCTCTTGAGGTTTGGCTGTGCACCAAGTCAATCTTCATTTGACTAACTGAGCTTCCAGCCATGAGCCAAGAGTGAGGAGGACACCAAAAGTGTCCAGGTCCCCCAAAATCAAAGTCAGTTGTCATAGCCAAAGTCTTTTCCTTTCAAGCATGGTATCTGGATTCTCTACTGTGTGAGTTACTTCAGAGGTCCATACTGCTCTTAGAAACCCTGGGCAACATAAAGAATTATTTCCCGCAATGGACCTAGAGCAGTAAAAATCCTATTTGCTGCTAGAGTTGTGAAAACATTTGATTTTTCATCACACATAAAAATTAACTGTTTTTCTCTAAGTGTTTTCATTAATTTACACTTGCTGTTATGTTTTGACTCCAAACATAGTATTAATATATAACAGACAAATAAGAAGAAAGAGAACAACTTTCCAGGGATAACATTCTTATTCTTAGAGGATATTATTATTCTCATCAGCTGTCAAAGGCTATGTATGAAAATGTAAGAGGAAATCTCAGAAGCATAAATGTTTGAATTAGTCTTACTTTCAAATTAAAACATTAAACCACAACAAGATATTTTTGCATTATCTTTAGTAAGATATTATTTATAGAATCTTTTCATTTGCGGCATTGTTTATTAAACAAGACAAATATGAAGAAAGTACCTTTTCTTTTAAATTGTCAACCAATTATAGTTTTGAATTTTTTACTCCCAAATCTTACATCTTAAACTTCTTCTGGTTAATTGCAAATGAGATCATACACCTTAAAGAGTTAAATAAAAAATCATATTGGAAAGTCGTATTTCTTTAGGGTGCCACATTTTCCTCTAAACAATAATAAAATGGTTAAATTTAAAATATTTTGCTCCCTTCCCTACCTAATGGTTCGACTTGACATTGTTTACTTTCTCCGTCAGTCCTGGGGAATATTGTTTAGTGCAACAGACAGAAAGATTTTCATGTGCATTCAGAACAAATTAGAGTTTATGAGGGCATGAAACTACCATGTTATCTTCACAATCTGCTTTATCACAATCGCACACTTTAAATTTCCCCTCTTCAAGTCATATCAGGACAATTATGTGAAAATCAAAAGACCTTTTATTAAGAACACAGCACAGAACTCTGTATTGACTCTTAGAGGCCACCTCTAATATTTGTAAATTCAGACCTTCCTTCAGTATACGGAAAACAACTGGATTGACCAAAGAGGTTAAGAAAACATAGTCTTTGACCCATCCATGTAGACGGCATAGGAACACAGACTTAGAGAGCAAACAAGAAGGCACCATAAACGCTATTGGGAAACCCTACCCTAATTCGGAGAGTTTTTTCATATCGTAGTGAGATGCTATTTTATCCCAACGCAAAAATCGGACAGAAGTCCCTATCTCCTCACTGGACCCCTGCAAACACAGTCTACCATTTGGTGGCTGTCACATGAGCCCTAGAGCACTTGAATTGCACCACTGTATTTGCTTTATTATATTTCAAACGCCTGCCTCTGGCATACATGACACCGTCTTGGAACCGAGAGTAGCTCCAGGCTGCCAGAGGAAATACCAGCAGGCTTTCACTGGGCAGCGCCCATCACTCCACTGACACACAGACCTGCCAGGCCCCTCTCCTGCACACACGCCAGGGCACCTCACACCTGATCAGCTTCAGCTCCAAAGCTGACCCGAGACAGCCCCGAGGATCTCAGGGCTTTTGCAGCAGTTGTTCATCACTACCGATTTCCTGACAGTCACAAGGACCTTGCTTCTCTTTTGAAGGTTAAAAAACCCCACAACTCTCATAATTCCTTATCTAGAAATAATCAGACCAGTAACCAGAGCGGCGTTACACAAAACAAACACACAAAAATCTCAACACTCCATCAAGGTTAAATACTAGAGAAAGGGAGACCGAACACACTGCCATGACAAGAATGAAACTTCAACCAGCTGATGAGATCATTCATGAACCAAGCTTATCACTGCGTCTTCGCAGTAAATTGTTTTCTTTTTAATACCCCTCACCCCCGGTCTCCAATCCCCCTCTGCCTCTCACCTGCCAGCCGTCTGTCTCTAGTGTTTTTCCAAATGACATCCAGGGCTCTGGCCGTGGAGTCCCTGATGTGATCGCTAAAGGACCTCCGGAGAGGGGCTCGCAGGGGGCGCGCCATCACGTGGGCCTTGGGGTCCCCCATCCGCTCGCAGACGCCTTCAGCGCAGCCCGGGCGCCGCGACCATGCCTCGGTACTCCGCCCCGCGCTGTGCTCCCGGCCGCAGGCTGTCGCCTGCCTTCAGGAGGCCGGCATTGCGGCTGGCACTGCGGCCCCGGGAAGCGCCAACTGCAGGCGGCCTCCTGGCCCGCGGCCAAGCGCGCGCGGCGGCCACATCTGGAAAGACTTACCCTGCGCCGGCGACACCCTCGCGGGGCGCGCGAGCTGCAGCACAGCTATCCGGAGGCGTCTCGCTTCCTGTGCAACCCAATGACTCACCTGGGTCCGCGCCGGGCTGCTCCTGGGTCACATAGCAGGTCTTCCCTTCAGGGGCAGTCCAGGTGACCTCGCGTTTTCAAAGGGAAACGCAGCGCCGCAGGCAAGCACGCAGGGGAGGTGGGAGGGTGGGGCTGGCAGGTGGCCTTGTCTTTAACTTTCAAGGTTGATTCTCAAGAACGTTTGCATTTTAGTGACTCATTTTTATCTCATTAACTCATGGTTTTAGATTAGGCGGTTGATGAGATAGGAAGTTCAACCTTTAGTTGTGGTTGTGGGAAGGAAGATATGGCTGGAAGGAGCACTTTACAGATCAATCTGGATTCCCTCTAAGAAATGGAGACCTGAGAGGCCAGCACTGTGGCTCACGCCTGTTCCCAGCACCTGGAAAGGCTGAGGCTGGAGGATCACTTGAGGCCAGGAGCTTGAGAACAGCTTGGGCAACAAACAAGACCCCACCCCTACAAGAAATTAGGCGGGTGTGGTGGCATGCACCTGTGGTCCCAGCTGCTTGGGAGGCTGAGAGGGAAAAATCGCTTGAGCCCAGGAGTTCCAGGCTGCAGTGACCTGTGGTCACCCCCACTGCTCTCCAGCCTGGGGGACAGAGCAAGACCCTGTCTCTAAAATAAATAAAATAAGGAAATGGACACCTGAGTTTTAAACAAAATACTGATCAGCTCCTCACATTTTCTCTCTAACCATACTTCTACTTACAGTGGTTTAATCAAGTCACTCTAGGTTTTGCCCCTTAAAAAGTTTCAAATATCCCCTGATTTTATGAATCTTCTAGTTCCAAGTAAGTGAACTTCCTCATTACAATTGCACATCAAAAACTCATCCCCCAAAATGTAAAAAAAGTTCCAAGCACTATGAAATCAAAATATGAGCCAACTGCTTCTTTTACAAGATATGCGCCTTAGTTTCTAAAATGCCAAATAAATCTATTTCTACGCCAATAAATTTGGCAGATTTTTTGCCTTTTAAATGCATTATTAATCCTCTTTTTTTTTCTGTCTAGCAAATCTTACCTTATAATGCACAAGGTTTGGCAGGGAAGCTTAATATTGGCATAAGACATCTAAAGGCCAGTTCATAACCTTTGCAAGATGAGATAATGTTGTAAAAACACTTTGTAAATTTCAAGAAGCCATGCAAATGCTAATTATTACCATAATTATTTTTACACACAAAGTCATTTTCAACCCACACTGATCTCCTGAGTCTTCTAATTTCTACAACACGCATTATTTTCACATATATCTTTAACAACTTAATTATACAAAGGATGATTATGAAAATAGTGAGATTGTGCTCATGAATTATAACTAACATTAGTACCAATGCTTATTAATAACCCGTATGTCCTAAACTGTATTGTTCCCAAACTGTTAAAGCTCATGAATGTCCCCCATTGAGCATGTACTTCATGGTAGATATCCACGTCTTTGCCTTATCATTGGACTGGACACAGATTAGGAGAGAATGCATGCTAACTGCTGATGTAGACAGACCTCCGTGCCTGCACGGGCCAATTCCAAATGAAAATCCTCTATTAAAGATTTTCAGAAAATATGATTGCCTAATGCCTGGTTCCATTCTAAAACAATGTCCCCAGAGTTTGTGTGTGTTTCTCCTTCAAAGAGGTCTGGGCACCTTGAAGCGTGTTGAATCATGTCATCTGGACCTGTTTTGCAGAGGAATGGCATGAAGTACCCATGGCATGGGTAGTGCCCTTCACCAGATGCTGTTTTAGGCCTGCGGAACTTTAGGATGAATAAGACCTCAACTCTGTCTTCGAGGAGGAAATATCACATCGACCAAAAGTGATTCCAAAATAATGTGATAAGTTTCAAGGTAGAAGCATGTTCCAATGTTACAGGAACACAAAGGAAAATGCAGCCTGGATTCCTAACTCCTCCTAGGCACTGATCTCACCTGAGTTTCCAGTCTAGATCTATGATAAAGTTAGGGACACACAGTCACTCCCAGCATGAATATCAACAGCTGATTGTCTGAGTCGTGCAAAGTGACTGACTATAATGGTAGGAAGCTTTTCTACACCTAAACACAGAAAGGAAGGGGAGCAGTAAAGGGAAATAAGCATTCATTAAGTCCCTATAATGTATGATAAAGTCGTCTAGTGTTGTATATAGACTAGCAAGTCATCAGAGATCATGTATAGGTATTATTATCACTTTTTTAGAGATGAGGAAACTTGAAGCTTAGAAAGAAAAAATTCGAAAAGCTTACATAGTAAGTGGCAGATCCAGGATTCATACTCGGAGCCGTCTGCCTCAAAAACTCATTAGCTTCCTAATCAACTTGGTTGGTCTTAAATTAATGACCATAGTAACGACAGTGACCCATTAGTGTTATCTAGGCTCAGTCGATACTAAGCTATGAGCTAATGCTCTTTAATCTTAGCCAAAATAAAATAACGAACAGGACCTAGGGTGTGGCAGAATCCTGAGTCTGCAGATAGATTTGAGGTGATCCCGACTATGGAAATTAAAGGCAATGAGCCAAGAGAACCAAGGTCTGGTTCAACACACACTGTTTAACAGTAGAGCACTCAGGTCTAATCACCAAAGTGTTATAAAACAACCCTCCTCCTCTTAGCAACACACTTTCTCTAGGACAATACTTAACAGTTCTTCAGTGAAGCTCATTTCAGTAGGTGTTAGAAACACCTGCCTATTCCTAGTGCAGGTTGCATTAGGTAGAATGACCCACAGACTTCACCTACTTAAGAGGACTTTATGTTTTGTTTGTCTTTTTCAAAGGAAACCTCATGGCATAAATGTAAATTTTCTTGGCAGAGTATTTCAGGAGGGGAAGTGCAGCTAAGCATTTTTGAGCAAGGCAAACTTTAATTATAGGTTTTACCATAGGCCAACGTAGAGCTGACAATTTGGCCTCTCATTTCTGACAACTCATTAAGTCCAAATTTCACTGTGAGGGTATTTCAACCCCTTATGGATAAATCTCAGCTACATTTTATGGGTATAGTGTAAAGACCATTCTAATACACAACCAGTTTTAAATTATTCTTACATTTTGCTTTCTTTGTAGGCCACTAGAAATGATAGACACAGAAAAGGTGCTGCTTAGAATCTGCCACTTAGACAATAATTTCTCAAGTTGTATTTCCACAAACTTCAAACTATCCCAGTTTTCTATGACTCTGAGAGGTGAGAATAGTTTGTGATAATTAGTGTTGTCTCAGCTTAGCAGGTAGAACAAGTGGAAATATGAGTTCATTGGTTTTTCAAGATCCCACTGGGAATCACAAGAAAAGTGAGAATAGGCTGGGTGCGGTGGCTCACACCTGTAATCCCAGCACTTTGGGAGGCCGAGGTGCATGGATCATGAGGTCGGGAGATCGAGACCATCCTGGCTAACACAGTGAAACCCCCGTCTCTACTAAAAATACAAAAAAAAAAAAAATTAGCCGGGCGTGGTGGCAGGTACCTATAGTCCCAGCTACTCAGGAGGCTGAGGCAGGAGAATGGCATGAACCCAGGAGGCGGAGTTTACAGTGAGCCGAGATCGCACCACTGCACTCCAGCCTGGGCAACGGAGAGAGACTCCATCTCAAAAAAAAAAAAAAAAAAAAAAAGAAAAATGAGAATAATGACATTATGCTTTGATAGGTTTGCAGTTTCTTATTTCTGTGATAAAGGGTTAGTTTCAGCCATTGGTGGAGGTGCTGTTTGACCAGGGAAGCTGTGTAAACTCTTCCAGATCCCTGGAGAACAGAGGTTCTAGTCTGTATCCTAAGCTAGAGATTCTGGTTTAAGTAAGTCCCTAATATTTTCCATATAAGAAAATCATCCTGCTTTGGTAATGTATTATTGATTTAATGTAATTTTGTCTGATTTATACATTTTATCTTACTGCAAACAAAATTTTTAATTTTATAGTGTTTCTAGGTTCCATCTTCTCTGATTTAATGTTAGAGACCTCTTCTTTTCCAAGCCTGTGTAACATAAATCCACTTTGGTCTTATGGCCACTGTTGCTGATGAAAATCATTTAAGACTTCTTTGGACCAATGAGAACATTTAGGACTACCTAAAGTGCTGGAAGATCCTTTCAAAAGAATGTGAATAATGATGGGAAATGAAAAGCTTATTAAGAGTTAATACCGTGTTTGGATCTGGGTCTTTGGCATAGAAAGAAAATGATTATAACCCCATTGGTTAAGTCCTATGAGTGATCCAGCCCCTGAAACGGGATGGCAGGCTTAGTGCATGGCAGTGCCTATCCCAGCATAATATATCTCCCTAAAATGCTGTAACTCCACAGAAGATCTTCTCCACTGTGTAGGTATCCAATAGTCCATGACAAGGAGTATTCGTAGAATGAAGACTCTGTAACTCTGAAGGATGTCTAAATGGTTTCTGTTCATTGTGATAACTGGCATCTAGCGTGTATGTTATATGCCATGGAGGACTGTTTTTGTTTTGAAATGTTTAGTTAATATAATCATCTTTAGTGCATTTGCTCTGGCAACTGGCAATTTTACTTGTTAATCTGCTTCTACATTTGGAACCCTAAGGATCCACTGAATTTGGGTGAGAATCTTCTTTGTGATAAACTCTATGAAATGTTCTTGACCAAAGGGTCAAATCAAGGTGGCTTGCACTATTAGGTGTATATTGATGTTTGATAGACCAAAAAACTACAATGATGATTTTCTTCAAATTGATTAGCTCTGACCTGGGGACAAACAAAATTATTCTTGGAAGGCAGGGAGAAAATCTTGGAATCTATATCTGTATCTACGCATATAGTTCTTTAAATATTTCCATTTTTGTATAATGTACAAAGCACATAAGTACCATGATTTATAGATATAATTTATACATAAATAAATATATACACTGGGGTTCTATGCTTAGAAAGCTTTACTGACAGGCCTGGTGATCAAGGTTCAGAGACTTGCTCTACAACTTCTGATATATACCAAAATCACACTATCTTTCAGAGTAAAATCAACTTGTTGGAGGGCATAGTGTTGAATATATCTATATGGGAAGAGGCTGCAATAAAACAAGAAGTGAATGTTAGGGAAGAGAGAAGGACTTCCTTTTCTTCTTGAGTCATGTAACATTATCTTATTTCCTTTTGACTGCTGAATTTCAGTAACTATTTATGCTTTCTGAAGCTAAGATCTCTACCTGAGCTACAAAAAGTCACCTTGCCTGTGAAAAAGAAGACTTAATTTCAATTCTGCGCCTTGCCAGACAGCTTTGTGATCTTGGGACAGCATTTTGTTTTCTCATTTGCTAATGAGGATATAGACTAGATCATTTATTCTGGTTGAGATTCGAGGGTGGGAGAAGTGGATATCAGAATTACATAGGGTGGGGACTCGTCCCTCCTGTTAGAGTGGACAGAAAAGTTTCAACAACTCTACTGGGCTAGATGGTCTCATTCCACTTCAGAAAAATACCTCACCAGAATTCTAGCTATTAGTATATATAATTGGCCATTTTAATGCTTTCGTCAAGCTATTTTCAAGTTGCTTTGAACATCTCTCTCTGGAGCTGTTTGTTTGGGTTTAATCCTCTCGATCATTTCTTTTCCACTCTCTGCAGTTGACTACAGTTTTTGAGGTGAAAATATTTAGCAGAGAGGTAGGAAATAAAACATACTGGAAAAAGGAAAGAGGATGTAGAGATGCCCTCAGGAACTTTTTTCTATGTCATGATTTCAGGTTTTCTTTTATGTTGTAATTTCAAAAGGTTAAACATTTGCAATTTCTATAGAAAAATCAACAATAATGGTACACCAAAAATAATGTAAAAAATCTATAACTTATATTACCTTAGCAAGAACAGAATATCTAATAGTAAAATAATTTTAGATACAGTTAAAACTTCAGGGGGAAATAATTTCCTTTATTTTGTTCTTCATTTTATTTTATTCCTATTATATTTTAATTCTTTCTTTTATCCTTTCATTTTTCACCATGTAAAATTACAGTGTGTTAGTAAAGAAGCTCAGCATTACAGCATAGAACCAGAGTTACAATTTCTCTGCTCACTCAGATTTAAAGTATATTATGATTACTTGAACTGCTTTAAAATTGTGGTTATTGCAATTCATACTAGCTGTTTTATGTGTCTTTTTGATGAGACTGAAATAAAAATACTAACCCCTTGCTGTTTCTAAATTAGAAGACTTCCTTCTGAGGAAAAACCCAAAAAACTCACATATTGTTTTATGTTCATATACAGTCATTGCCACAAATGTCCATAAAGAATGACAGACATTGTTACTTTTGGATTATAACAATTATCAACCATCTCAAAAAACATACCTACACTAATAATAAAATGAAAAGCAGTTTTAGATAATGGCTGCATAATATACTCAGGCATATACATTCAGTGATGATTTAAAAGTCAGACCAAACAGGAACCCAAATATTTCTCTATGTTAACATAACTTGTTGATTATACTTTTTTGACCATAGTATTAATAAATGTTATATATGATGGTAGGACTCAAAAGATTGCAGTGTCAACTAGCTTGAATGTTTCCGTAAAAAGCTATTTGCAGGTCGACTTCTGTGTACCAAGGGATCCTACTGAAACACACACACACACACACACACACACACACACAGAAAAGAAATCAACTTTTTTTTTCCAGAAAATATACGATACATTGTGAAGTACTGTAATCTCTGAGAGAAGGTTTTAAAAAAATAGATAAGCGTGACCATTGTTCTGATACCAACTCTGCATATGGGCAATTTTGGGGCCACAGAATAGAGAGAGGAAAACCAAATATAACCTGGCAGTTCTTTTTCTTTTTCTTTCTTTCTTTTTTGAGACAAGATCTCACTCTGTTGCCCAGGCAGGAGTGTAGTGGTGCGATCTTGGCTCACTGCAACTTCTGCTCCTGAGCTCAAGCAATCCTCTCACTGCAGCCTCCTGAGTAGCCTGGACTACAGGCGCACACCACTATGCCTGGCTTATTTTTTAATGTTTTGTAGAGATCAGATATCCCTATATTGCCCAGGATGGCCTCAAACTCATGGGCTCAAACGATTCTCCCGCCTCTGCCTCCCAAAGTGTTGGGATTGCAGATATGAGCCACTCAGCGTGGCGTAGCAGTGTTGAGGTGACAGAGATCAGAGTTTAGGGGAATGGAGGCAGCTAGAATTTGTAGGACAGAGTATCAAAGAAGATGGAGCAGAACAAAGAGTGAGATCTGCAGAGGGGTCTTCCCAAGCCTTTGGCTGAACACGGATTGCCACCAGCATGCGAAAGAACTCTCGAAGGCTAGGGAAGAAACCCTGGAAATCAGTGGACTAGAGTCACTTCCAGTCCAGTGGAAGTGCAGTCACTTCCTGGAGTGCACACAAGGCTGGCATTAGTTTGTGTTCTTACCAGTGAGTATGAAGAGACCTCAGGAAATACGGAGCATTAGATATAATCCCCAGAAGAGTCAAATCTCAGTAGTGGGGCTAAATTAGTCCTAGAATAAAGACTGCTTTGGACCTATTAGCAGAAGAAAGAAAAAAATAGTTAAGATAACGGCCTGGCGCGGTGGCTCATGCCTGTAATCCCAACACTTTGGGAGGCCAAGGCGAGTGGATCACCTAACGTCAGGAGTTCGAGACCAGCCTGACCAACATGGTGAAACCCCGTCTCTACTAAAAATAGAAAAATTAGCTGGGCGTGGTGGCGGGCGCCTGTAATCCCAGCTACTCAGAAGGCTGAGGTAGGAGAATTGCTTAAACCCGGGAGGCAGAAGTTGCAGTGCGCTGAGATCGCGCCATTGCACTCCAGCCTGGGTGACAGAGCAAGATTCCGTCTGAAAAAAAAGTGAATAAAAAATAAAAATAAAGATAACAATAGAAAGCCCTGAAATTAAAAACCAACAAACAGTTTAGAAGAACAAAACCTGGTTCTTTGAAGAGATCAATACAATTGCTTAATCTCTAGTCAGATCAACTACAAGTAAAAAGTGAGTTTAGCAAGATCACAGGATTGAAGATTAATATACAAAATCAATTGTATTTTCACATACTAGAAATGAACAGTTCACAGTTAAAACAAGAAAATACCATGCATGATTAAAAATATGAAATACTTAGAGATACATTTAATAAAATATTTGTACAAAAATTTGTACACTGAAAAACTACAAAATATTGCTAAGAGAAATTGAAGAAGATCTAAATAAATGGAGATGTACCATTTATGCATTTGAAGACAATATTGCTAGGTTGTTAATTCTTCCAAACTATAGATTCAACACAAGACCATTAAAAATTCCAGCAGGTTTTTTTGTTTGTCTGTTTGTTTAACTGACAAGTTGATTCTAATGTATATGGAAATACAAAAGACCTAAAGGAGCCAAAACAATTTTGAAAGTGAAGAGTGATGTTGGAGGATTTACACTGCCTGATTCCAAGATTTACTGTAAAAGCGACAGTAATCAAGACAGGGTGGTATTGATTTAACTATAGAAATTAGACTAATGGAACAGAACCAAGATTCCAGAAGTAGATCCATACTATATGGTCAGTTGATTTTTTTTATAATGGTGCTAAAGTTAGCTAATGGAGGGGAGATAATCTACCTGAAATAGGTTATCAACAACTGGGGTGCTGGGGCAGTTGGATAACCATATGGAAAAAAGAAACCTTGAGCTTTACCTCACACCTAAAACAAACATTAACTCTAAATGGAACATAGACCACAGACCTAAATGTAGGAGTAAAACTGTAAGACTTGTAGAAGTTTTCTAATCATCTTCTTCTGACCACATTTTAACAAATGGGCAAAAAGTTTAAACTGATACATCACAAAAGAAGATATATGAATGGCCAATAAGTACATGAAAAGATGCCCAACGTCATAAGTCATTAGGGAAATGCAAATTAAAGACATATGGAGATACCATCACATACTAAAATTAAAAAGACTGACCATACTAAGTGTTGGAGAGAATGTGGAGCAACTGGGATACTTACATATTGCTGGTGGGAATGTAAAATGGTTTAAGCCATTTGGAAACAGTTTGGAAGTTTCTTATAAAGTTAAACGTACCCTACCAATGAATTCCACTCCTAGGAATTACTAAAGATATATAAAAATATATCTTTGTACAAACGCCTTTTTCCACTTAGAGATAATTCTACAAAAGTCAAAGCTGTAGTGGCAGAGATCAGCTCAGTGCTTGCCAGAGGCTGGGAATGGGGTGAATGTGGGATGAGATTAACTACTTGGTACATGAGAGAATTTTTAGATGTGATGATGAAAAGCAAAGTGATAAACCGGGGAAATATTTGCACAATAAATATGCAATACAGTGTTATTATCTGTAATAAATAAAGCACTTCTGTAAATCAAAGAGCAAAATAGAAACAATCCAATTGAAAAATCAATGGATTTATGAATAAGATTTCACAGAACATATAGAAGTGATAGAATTGGGTCAAAGAAGCTCAGTGTTCAAAATCTGATATCAGGAAAAATTCTCTAACCAAAGCAAACCATCAGAATCCTCAATCTCTGAAAATTAGATGTATGACTTCACAGGGAGGTGGAGAGGAGGTGGTTTTTCTACCACCAGAGAAAAAAATTGCTGTTTAAGGAATGATCACTGGCTTGGAGAATATGTATATCGAAATGACATACCCAGTGTTGTGTTAAGTGGATTAAATTTTATTACAATAAATAGGTTTAAATGTCAATGATAAAATGTATTTTAATGGTTTCATGAAAGGGTCACTTTATATGGAATCATTATTAGTATCAGTTCATTCATTATAAAAGTATAAAAACATGTCAACTCAATAATGATGTTTCTATTGTATCACATTATTATATGAGAATATGCTGTTTGTATGGATATATATTCCTTTTCAAGGCACAGAATGCAACCTGAAAAAATACTTATTAAAGTGAACAGGCATTTTGCTAATATTAGCAGCAAAAGAATGTAAATTTTCACAGTCTCTCTGATAGCCAAAAACCTTTTCTTAACTATTTTGAAATAGGAAAAAAAATAGAAAAAAAAAAAAACACATGAAAAAAGTGAAACTCTTACTCTTTTGATTGGCATAAAAATGCTAAAGAAAGACAAGTGAGGAGAAGAAGGAAAAAAAGAAAGCCTTTGATAAAAGGAAAAATAGAATTGTAGGAGATGGAACCTCATGATGTGTTTGCATGACTTGAAACTGTACAGGAGATGACAGTCTGCAAACTTCAAGGGAAAGAGGGGATCTGAGGTGAAGGTTGAGCACTCTAGAGACTGAAGCACAAATGCGGATGGTGAAAGGCCATGGAGATTTTTAGCAAATGCTTCTTTTGTACAGATTCTTTTGTGTGTATATGTGTTGGGAGACTCTCGTTAATAAATTTAAGAAATGTGGTGGGAATCAAAGAAACCTGAGGCCTTCATTGATTTCCTAATCTCTTCAACTAAACAGCTGGGAAACTCTGACTCTAACTTTCCCTCCCACTTCTTACTGGCTTGGGCTTTCTGGCCTCTGAAACTAATCAAAGTGTGGCCAATTCAATGTATGGCTCGTCAGGGTCTAGACAGATGGTCAGAGATGAGGACAGAAATGGAAAGTAAGCAATCAGAAAATTCTTAATTTTATGTTTGTTGAATCTAACGATAAAAAAATCTTTGGCTTCTATTTTGTTTTCTTTTCCAATTTTATTTTTCTAATACTTTATTTTCATTATATTTTAAAACAGTACGGGTTAAAGAAATCAATCACCATAAATAGTTTGGAAAACCCTGCTCTGAAGTATAAGTATAAAGTATAAGAGTAGCTCTAGATGGAGAGAAAAGGCTACTGTTTTGTGAAGTTTAAAAATCAGCCTCTGAATTAAACCCTTGTTGGTATTTGTACATCTCTCATTATTTGTTATATACATGGAAAAGCAGCAGTAGTAAACATCGTTAACATTTCAATTGGAAATTGTAAAATAAACCTCCCAAGGGAACAGAGGTATTTTTGCCTTTGGAATTTTGTGCACATTGAGTGGTTCACATCTGGCACCAAGACTAGATCGCCGATGATGCAAGAATGTCGAAAAGTGAAATATTCAAAGATAAAGAAAGGATACATGGAGAAAGGAAATAAAACAGGCAATTTTGCCAATTAAGTGTAAAATATAATTATTATAAGGTAGATTTTCCTTTTATCTAGCTTTTTTTTTTTAGGAAATAGAATTTCTTAGGAGAATATTTGCTCAGAAATCAGTTGGAAAATTGGAGATCTTTAGAAACAGCTATTTTCTTAGTTCTTTAAATTCATACGTTATCTTTATAAAGATTGTGTCACTTGTTATGTATTATCATGAGCAATGGTTGAATTATAATAAATCAGAGCTCAGTTTTTAGAAGTGTATCAGCAAAACCAAAAGCCTACTTCAAAATATTTTGACTTTTTTTCTAACCTAGCCACTAAATCCCATGAAATGTATACTTATTAAAAGTTTGTTGTCAATAGTGATCACAGTTGTTATCTAAAGAGTTTCTGGTATTATAGTGTATCATTTAAAAATAATTGTTTTTGTTTTCCTTTAATACAGAACTAAGAATAAGGATGTCTAGATCTCTGCAGATGGGGCAATGTAACGGATTAATAAGAATTAGTATTCCTTGTAAAAATTATAATCACTCTTTGAGGGCTGTTGGAGTCTGGACCCATACCATTTTTCCACTCTTCTCTCCTTCTAAACTCAAACTCTAGCCTCCAGCTGGCTGGGCTGCTCAATTGCATCACTGTGCCTCATGCATTTCCCAGTCTTCTAATTTTGCCAACAGTATTTTCCTTGCCTAGAAATGCCTCAGATCTTCCTTTCCAGTATTTCAATGCTTTCTTTCCCTCCTCAGCTAAATGTCCAGAAACTCTTGAGTATCTTACCACTTAGCTGTTACTGCTTATCTTGCTCAGCAGGCTATCAGCATCCTCAAAGGATGTGCCATCAAGGTCTAGAATAAGGAGATCCTGAGACAACTCAACAGGAGAGGCGGCCCCTATCAACGTCACTAGTTCCTGCCCCTTTCCCCCTTTATTGCTGGCCTGCAACTTTCTAGGGGAGGAAAGAAGAAGTAAGAAGTGGGTAGGGAAGAGACTTGTGTGGGCTGACATTTGGGAGGACTTGCATCAACCCAGCTTAGGGATCATAGGTTCCACTTAGGGGAAGCTAAAGGTTGTGGACTTAACCAAAGTTTATATCAGTTTTTATGTGGCAATTTATATATGGCCTTTTATATGGCAGTGATTTTTGCAGTGTTACTTGGGCCATTTTTAGGAATTACAAAATCGCATATTAGGTGCTCTGTGTGTGACACCATTCTCCACTTTCATTCTGTGACCAACTTCACTCCTGTGACCTGTTCCTTTTTCCTAAGGCATTCGGTGCTCATGCCATCTGGCTTCCCAGGGCTACCACTCCACAGTGCTCTATAATTCCTTCACCCCCAAATACCCTCCATCTCATAGAGTTAGAATTCCTTTTATTATTATTATTATTATTTAGAGACATTGTTTTGTTCTGTCACCCAGGCTGGCATGCAGTGGTGTGATCATAGCTCCAACTCCTGAGTTCAAGCTATCTTCCTGCCTCAGCCTCCAGAGTAGCTAGGACTACAGGGGTGTGCCTTTGCACCTGGTTAAATTAATTTTTTTTTCATAGAGTTGGAGTCTCTCTATTTTGCCCAGGCAGGTATAAAACTCATGGCCTCAAGTGATCCTCCTACCTCAGCCACCTGAGTAGCTGGGATTATAGACAGGTGTCACCATGCCCAGCTAATTGTTCAAATTTTTTTTTGTAGAGGCAAGCTCTCACTATGTTGCCCAGGCTGGCTTTGAACTCCTGGCCTCAAGCAATCCTCCTGCCTTGGCCTTCCAAATTGTTGGGATTACAGGCATAAGCCACTGTGACCAGACAAAAATTCCTTTTATGTGGGTGCTTGGTAACACCTGCTAGGCTATTCCAAGATGTGAATAAAATTTAGCCCTGGGGAGGAGAAGGGGGTATACAACGCTAGAGAATTTTGTAAATAAAATAAGAACCTTGTTCCAATAAACATCTACTTATTGAATGTGAGTGGCGTGACACCCAGCTTCTCATTGTACAGCCCCATTCTCTTTTTGTCTCCCTGCCATGTCTGCATATGGAATTATTTTAATTACCTTAAAAGGTTGTTGTCCTTGGGAGACAGGATAATGAGTAGGTTGGCTAATGGCAAATATGTGCAACCATATGACACTTAGGGTATCTTTTAGTATTTTGCTTGTTCAATACACTTTATATTTTTGTGTCTTTTCTTTTACCTTGACTCTAAGTTCTGTACAGGTAGTGTCTTCAATAGTTTTATGAGCTTAGTGCATTTTATGGCAATAATACATATTCAAAAATAGTTTTGGTTATATTTATAATAAAATGTGACTTTTTGGTAGTCATCGAGTGCCATGATAATCTGTCTTAAGCCTTAAGATGTTGTTTTGCCGTACACACTTTGAAGTACCAAATGAAATGAAATGCATGTAGAGGAAGAATAATAGATGTGAAATTTCCACTGATATTAACCAGTGGTCTTCAAACTTAGTGTTCATAACAAGTCCCTGGAGAGTATGTTAATATTTATGGTTACTAAGCCTAGGAGATTTTGGTTCAGCAGGCCTGGAGGCATCCAGGAATCTGAATTTTTGAACAAGTATTCTAGAAAATTATGGGGCACACTTTAGCAAACAGTGCATTAAAGGATATGCCTTTTTTCTTAATTAAAAATGCCATTTCCCTTTCTTTCAATTTCTTAATTTTTGAAAAAAATTATTGAGTGTCCTTTATGTTCAAGAAATGCAAAGATAATTCACATGTGGTTTTTATTATATAGTAGGGGAAAAATGTCTTAATAATAATAATAAAGAGTATAAAAGGATGCCAGCCTTATAAGAAGTTCGGATAGAGTACTGGAGTGTTTGGGGGAAAAGTGCCAATTGCTGAATAGTGGATATCCTGGAAATCTTCAAAGACAAAGTAAATATGGACATCTGGAGATGATATAAAAGGAAATTTCAGGAAAAGGTAACAATATTAGCAGAAACACTGAGGAGGAAAGTGCGGGTTGTGGAGAATGTGAGCATTCCTGTGATGGCACTAGGGGGCAACTGGAATGAGATGCGTAGCTTGGTAGAGTGGCCAGAGCTGGAGACTGTGCAGACATATCTTGTTTTTCTTTGAGATGGAGTTTCATTCTCACTGCCCAGGCTGGAGTGCAATGGCGCGATCTTGGCTCCCTGCAACCTCTGCCTCCCGGGTTCAAGGATTCTCCAGCCTCAGCCTCCCAATTAGCTGCGATTACAAGTATGTGCCACCACGCCTGGCTAATTTTTTGTATTTTTAGTAGAGACAGGGTTTCACCATGTGGGCCAGGCTGGTCTTGAACTCCTGGCCTCAAGTGATCTGCCCGCCTCAGCCTCCCAAAGTGCTGGGATTACAGGCATGAGCCACTGCGCCTGGCCATGTGCAGACATATCTTTAGTTGGGTGAGATTCCCAAGAGAAGGTGTAAAGACAGAGGAAAAGAAAACTGAAATATCAATGCCATGTAACTTACTTAAGGCTTATAATAGAGAATTCAGTGAAATCATGTTTGGATAGTAAATATTTTTTGTTAATTATATATGATTTCAGTGAGTACTGTGATACTAATATGTAAATTTATTTCTGTCTGCTCCATGATATTAACTTCTATTATTTGAGATGAACAAAATAAAACTCTTGAATGGGAAGAGAAAGACCAATATCAGAGCTATTAAAATGAAAATCAAACCCTGTCCACTTAAAGTATTTCTAAAATATAAATTCATAGAAGTGATCAGATATTTATATGCATTATGTCCATGTCACTTATATAGTATAGTAAGTACATACTATAGTGACATGGACAGTAATAAATATAAATAAAGTAAATGTAAGTGACATAGACAGTAATAAATATAAATAAGGTAAATTCTAGAAAATCACAAAAATATTATGTAGTATTCTCTTTCCCTAGAAACCAAACCAACCAAACCAGACCAAGCCTGAAACCCCTAAGGGTTAAATAATTTCACTAAAGAAAACAAAAGCAAGGTAAGCTGAAGTCATGGGAAATAATAGAGACAGAGCAAGAGGCTGAAAAGCTACCATAGACGAAGCAAAGGTTTTCCAGATGTGGAATTCTTTCTACACATTAGTGCTGTTATTTTGCCTCGCTCAGATTCTACCAGGAAACAGACAAACAAAAAATGCAATGTTTTCTTTTTTTTTTTTTTCTATCTTCTGTCTGTAATCTAACGAAACTGACTTTGCTGAAATTTTACATTTTCTTTTCTTCAGGAAAATGTCTTGATATTTGTGATCTGCAGTTTTTTTGTTTTGTTTTGTTTTCTTTTTTTAAAAAGTTGGCTTCCATTATAAATGGGAATGCTGTTGGAATGCCTGAAGGAGTTTGTATGAGTGTTGGAGTATCTCCTTTTGGAAAGACATTTTGAATGTGTCTCCACCCCACAGTCCTCTTGTCCACATCGTAGAAAGTCCAGGCCACTCCCTACATGTGGGGATGAGCGGTCACTGCTCTGTTTATATTCTATTGTCATGGACCATCTGGGAGAACGGCTCCTGATTAGCTGTGGAACGATGAGTACCATCTCAGAGTCAAGGTCACAAGTTAGACCCAGGTCACTCTTTTTTAAGGCCCCAAATTTTGGTGTTCGAAAATATTACAAAATAATGTTTTCTGGATATAATAAGCCAGCTCTCCACTTTCCTAAAGTCATAAAAGAAGAAGGCCTTAATGTCCCCCTTTGGGTAACCTGGCTGATCTTTGTTTTGTATAGATGGACGCTATTGTGTTCATCATTGCAGTTGGGGTGCAGCCATCAGAGGCCTTAGAAATAATACTTTAAAAAAAAACACAGACATGCTCCCCACGTCCTACGTACAAGTGTATTTTTTTAAATAGAAAAATGCTAAGTGATAGAATTCAAGTTAAGTCTAACAGAATTCTGACATTTTTTTCTCTTTAAGAGTCTTCATTTTTAAAAAATGCATCAATTGTGTCACTCATTTTTTTGTTTTTATATGCTTTTTTAAATAAATGTTTATTTAAACATGAGGGGATGTGAATATAGTCTATTGAAAATATCAAATAGTTAGGAGCAGCAGCATGTGATCCAAACAAATTATAATGCAAATTAAAAACCAAATTGCAGGCCAGTCATGGTGTCTTACACCTGTAACCCCAGCACTTTGAGAGGCTGAGGTGGGAGGATCTCTTGGAGCCAGGAGTTTGAGACCAGCCTGGGCAACATGGTGAGATCCTGCCTCTATGTTAAAAAACATTTTTAAAAATTAGTTGGTCATGGTGGTGCATGCGTGTAGTCCCACTTACTGGGGAGGCTGAGGCGGGAAGATTGCTTAAGCCCAGGAGTTCCAGGCTGCCATGAGACATGATTGCACTACTGCATTCCAGCTTGGGCAACAGAGCGTGAACCTGTCTCTAAAACAATAAATTAATTAAAAATGAATTAATAGCCAAATGGCATGTTCAGGATAAATTAAATGGTTATAAAAAGAGATAATTTATTTAGTCAAGAGGAAAAAGAAAACCCATGAATCTTAAAGATGTAAGCTACGATGGCACTGATTTATAAGAGTGAGGCTGAAAGAGACGGGGTGGAAGATGTTCTCTGGTGGAAGAAGGAGAAATTAAAAGTTCATCAAATATTGTGAAAAGTCCTGGACATGGATAGACCTGAGATTAGCTGAATGCCTGTATGAGTTGTTTCATCTGCCAAATAAACAGATTGATTCAAAACTATTTCTTGAGCACCTCCTCTGTGCAAGATATCACATGGCATGCGGGGTGACAAAAAACGAAACGGGAGGTTTCTGCTTTCAAGGAGCTCTTAGCCTGATATAGCATAAAATTCAAGAACAGAAATACATCACAGAAAACATGAAATGCCATAATAAATATACCAACAAAGTGCCACTTTCAGCTGCAGAGACCTGGGAAGACCACTTCAAATGTGGGAGGAAACATTTGAATCAGAACATATTAAAAGAGAAATTGTCATCTACGTGTGTTGCTTAAAATATAATTGAGAGGAAAAGAACTATGTTCTATTGGTTCTGGTAATACAGTAGATTTGTCTCATCTAATTAGCAATAGTAAAAATACCAACGGAATTAGAAAATAATATAGTTCTGTAGCCAAAAAGGGTAATGTTGTGAAAAATTATAATTTTATCGAACACTCAGGATATACCTAGTTCTAGCAAGGTTTTGTGGAGTAGAACCAATACTGTACTATTAATATTATAGTGTCATACTGAATAGTTTCACTATGCGGAAAACCCCCTGTGCTCTGCCCATTCATTCCTCTGTCTCCGCAAACCACTGACCACCAATGATCTTTTGACTGTTTCCATAGTTTGGCTTCATCAGAATATCATACAGTTTGAACTATACTTTCTGGTTAGTTTTGCTGTGAACTTAAAATTGCTCTAAAACTGAAGCCTAATTATTCATGAAATAAGCATCTTTTAGGTGCACCGTACTGTGCTACATCATGTTTTAAAAGATTGTTAAAAGCTGTTGGAAAGCATTGCTGAGATAAATGGAACGCTCAGAAGACAATGACAGTCCATCAATGATCAAGTACAAAAACGACCAGTTCAGACTTGATGTGCTATAGTTATATCATTTCGGAAAGCATGAAATTAATGTGAGCAGGAGTTATCATAGAAGACTTCACCTTCACCGGGAAGCCAGGACACAAATGAGTCATTGGGGGTTAGGGTAGATAATTTCTGGAAGGGAAACAGGAGGAGCAAAGGTCAAGTTATGCAGAAGCAACTTCAGGAGAAAAGTGAGGTTGTTACCATGACTACAGAGGAAGGTGCGTGCTAGAAGAGGATGGAAAATTAGGGTGAAAAGGAAGGGTAAGGCCAGATTACGGAAAAAATTTATTCATCAGCCTGAGAAGTCTTGGCATTTAACCACTACATATAGCATAGCGGCTAAGAGCATGCACCGTTGTCTGCATTGCTGGCTTTGAATCCTGATTTGGCCACAGTGTGACTTTGGGTATCTTAGGGAGCCTCTCTGAGTCTCAGGTTCTTCAACTGTATAATGTAGATAACAATAGCACCTACCTCATAGGGTCGCTAGGGGATTAATTGAGTTTATGTCTATAAAGTGCTTGGAAAAGTGCAGGCACAGAGTAAATTCTTGTTATTATTACCAATTCAGTTATTCATTCCACAAACTTCAACCGAAACATCTGTTAAGAGGCTGGCATTACCAAGGTGCGGGGAAGATGTCTGCCTTTTAGGAAACCACAGCTCAGTGGGGAAAATTTTGAGATAAATATATCCAAGAGGATCACAGACTTAAAGAGAAAGGGGGAATTTTAAAAAGTGATGAACTGTGCTGTTATTTTCCCCACTTATCTATTTCCTTAAATCCATAGAAAAGAACTGATTTAACGTTTACATTAACAAGAAGTTTATAACATTAGCAGGTGTGAGTCACAGAAACGTGGTTGGGAAATTTTAAAAACAAATATAATACCCTACTATGTGTGCATCAGCACTCTTTAGTGAGTATTTTAGTTAAGTAGAAATTTAAGAACTCTGTGAGAACTTTTCTACCTCATTACAGTAGTCAGGACAAAATAGTTTCTTAAATCCATGATCCACACTTCTCCTGCATTAGATTAGATTTCTGCACAGCCTGCAGACAAGAAGATGGGCACCAGCCATTTATTGGGCACTGGTGAATTTGTTATGGTTGTTAATAACTCTTTAAGGTTTCCTACTTTGATAAAACACATCTAAAAAATTATGTCTTAATTCTATAATAGAAATGTCTATGGAATCCATTGAAAGAGATTTTGAACTTCCCTGCAGAAAACAAATCAAAGTGCTTCAAGCCAATGGAGGGTCAATACGAGAAGTATAGTCATGCCAGCAGAATTATAAGTCGTTTTATACTCAGTGAGGTCAAAGTAATAGCTTGTTACATGTAACTTTCCAAAGTAAACATACCTCTCCAAAGAAACTAGGATCAATCAACACTTTTCTTGTGGGTACGTATTTGTGTATATATTCACATTATTAATAAAATTAAACTGCAAACTGTGCACTGGAAACTCAAAAGAGGTAAAAATTTGAAGACATCTAAGAGATGATCAGATAAGATTCTTTGTTTTTTTTTTTTTTTTTTTTTTTTTTTGGAGACAGAGTCTCATTCTATTGCCCAGGCTGGAGTGCAGTAGGGCGATCTTGGCTCACTGCACCCTCCATCACCTCCCAGGTTCAAGCAATTCTCATGCCTCAGCCTCCCGAGTAGCTGGGATCATAGGCATGCACCACCACGCCCAGCTAATTTTTGTATTTTTAGTAGAGACAGAGTTACACCATGTTGGCCAGGCTGGTCTCGAGCTCTTGGCCTCAAGTGATTCGCTCACCTCGGCCTCCCAAAGTGCTGTAATTACAGTCGTGAGCCACCATGCCCAGCCAGATTTTGAACTAAATGGAAGATCTTTAGTGGCTTTCTTGATAAAATGGATACAAAAGGGCCCTTTCATAAATTGTCTTTCTTCTGAGAAGATTGAAAATAACATATTAATTTTTCTACTGATAAGAGGTCAATGGCATTGCAAGCACTGAAATGCAAAGCTGTCTTATTGGCCCATACTGGCAGTTCACAGCCACCTCTTCATGCTGCTGATAGCCATTCTTTCCAAGAAATAATGGGAGGAGCAAAATGTGCATAAGTCATTTTAGAAGGAGAAATAAAAGTCCATCAAATATTATGAAAAGTCCTGGACATGGATAGACCTGAGATTAGCTGAATGTCTGTATGAGTTGTTTCATCTACCAAATAAACAGATTGATTCAAAACTATTTCTTGAGCACCTACTCTGTGCAAGATATCACATGGCATGCGGGGTGACAAAAAACGAAATGGGAGGTTTCTGCTTTCAAGGAGCTCTTAGCCTGATATAGCATAAAATTCAAGAACAGAAATACATCACAGAAAACATGAAATGCCATAATAAATATACCAACAAAGTGCCACTTTCAGCTGCAGAGACCTGGGAAGACCACTTCAAATGTGGGAGGAAACATTTGAATCAGAACATATTAAAAGAGAAATTGTCATCTACGTGTGTTGCTTAAAATATAATTGAGAGGAAAAGAAACTATGTTCTATTGGTTCTGGTAATACAGTAGATTTGTCTCACCTAATTAGCAATAGCAAAAATACCAACAGAAAATGAAGAAATATTTGGAAAATTATCTGTATTTTAAAAATCCTGTGAGTTCAAGATCTTTGGCATTGAAGAATAGATTACTTATATTTTTCATGAATTCCTTGATACCTGAAAGCTAATGTGTTTTCTTTCAACAGCCCAGTCAACCACAGCCAACTTTTCACGGATTAGTTTACATTAAGTTTTAGAAACACTGAGAAGTTATGTGTGGGCATACCCTAAATTCTTTCCTCATAAAGAAGCAGGCAAGCAGAGGCCTTCATACATTAAAAAAAAAAAAAACTGAAGCAAGTATTTATAAGCCATTAGTGTAAAAATAATGAAATTCACTTTCTGAGAATGAAAGAGAATAAATAATTTGGAATGTTGGTCAAGGCCCAGGCTGGCTAGATAAAGAAAATTTTCACGTCTTGCTAAACCCCATAAAACAGCTGGGGGTCTTTGCTGTTACAAGAAGAGCTTCCTTTAGAATAGAAAGATAAGACTCTACATTTGGCTTTGGGAATGTCATGCAAATAGAGCAAAACATTTGCTGATTTTTACAATAATACCAGGCATTGGGAGTACTGCGCTGAATGAAACAAAATTATGTTTTTAAGGTGTTCACAGCCTAGTGGGAGAGACAGCAATAAAACCAATCAGATCCATACTAAAATGAAGACACAAAACAGAGCAGAGTCTTTCCAAAGAGAAGTCTGAAATAGAGCAGTCCTGTTTTAATTTTTTCAGCAAATCTCTTTGGATTTGCATATCTTGGAGCGTGGCTCAGAGTGGATATATCACATTAATCATTCTCTGGATCCAAGCAATGATGATCAGACTGGGAACAGTGGAAGTGTCTTTCCATTTTAGTTTTTTTTTGTTGTTGTTGTTGTTGTTATTCATTTGCATTTCCTTTCTCAGGGATGAAAAGCAGCCAAGAAAATTAATACCAAAATGCATCAAGTCTGGGCTTTGTTATTTAGTATGTTTACAAGGAGCTTGGAATAAAATTATGAAAATTCTGATTTTTCCCTTACGCATTTGTCACAAAGAAGTGTTTCATTTCTATTTTCTGTCTTATGACCACAACACAAAGTTTGGAGAGACCGTGACTCTGGTATATGCTTCTGAAAGCTATCCTTCACAAGAATTTCAGGCTATAATTATTCATTATCTTGATTTTTAACATTTTATGGCCAACCAAATAAGCTCCAGGCAGGAGAATAAACATTCTGAGAAAAATGACCAAGGAAAGCAACCAAAGTCAGGCTCTAAGTCATCTTCTTCAATGGCCCCCTTTACACGTTTCTGTGGCACAGATCCCCAAATAGTACCATTAATTCATGACCTGGCTGACATATTTGGCCGTTGGGTTGAGTAGTAGGAGTAATGGAGAAGGTTAAATAAAAAGCTTTAGAATCGTGTTAACTCTAAGTCAGTAAGATTATAGCCAGAGCATTTTTATAATTACAATTTCTTGATTAACACCTGTTTTACAGAACATCTATATTTTAATAGCTATTTTAATTGCAGGACACACAAAGACAATATTCTTAACCTAGAAAAGTTCATGATCTAGAGAAGACACACAGCTAAGCAAGATAATAAAACTGTAACAGAAAAGACGTAGCTTTTTAGGAGCACAGAATAAGCTCTAAGATTAGTTCTGCCTGGGAAATAAGTCATTAAAGAAGTGATATTATTGTTGGATCCAATGAAGCAAGTAGGATTTTCAAGACAGGGGATAAAAATAACCTGTTAGGCACTATGCTCACTACTTGAGTGACGGGGAAAGCTGGACCCCAAACATCTGCATCAAGCAATATACCCATGCAACAAATCTGCACTTGTACCCCCTGAATAAAAAAAAAGTTGAAACTATTTTTTTAAGCCATTTTTGGCTAATGATAATGCTTTGTTTTGCATGGGCTGCTATGTAGCCTGACAAAATTTGTGAAGTGTTCTTTGATTTAATTTTAGAATGACGGATTTCATGTTACTCCATATTAATAGTTCTCAAATATTCTCAAAGTGATATTTTAGTGACTAAAATGCAGTGTTACTTTTCCAAGAGAGAACACATTATAAGTCATAAGGCTAGTATATTTCTTCTCCATGGGATTAAATGAAACTATTTTCATTTACTTTGAAAAAAAAAAAATGTGGATGGGTGGGGTGGCTCATGCCTGTAATCCCAGCACTTTGGGAGGCCAAGGCGGGTGGATCCCTTGAGGCCAGGTGTTCAAGACCAGCCCAGCCAACATAGTGAAACCCCATCTCTACTAAAAATATAAAAAAAAAATTAGCCAGGTGTGGTGGTGGGTGCCTGTAATCCCAGCTACTTGGGAGGCTGAGGCAGGAGAATTGCATGAACCCAGGAGTTGGAGGTTGCAGTGAGTCGAGACCGTGTCATTGCACTCCAGCCTGGGCAATAAGAGCAAAACTCCTTCCCAAAAAAAGAAAAAAAAAAAAGCTCCTCATCTTTTTTTTTTTTTTTTTTTCTGGTTAAGCCATCTTTCACTTTGCCTCTCTCTATCTCCGCCTATCATCTGGTGCCAGTTGCATGCCACAGACCTAGGCAGAAGATGAAAGCAGAGAGCTACGAGGGATTCTATGGTAGTTAAAGTTTGAGCAACCAACAAACAAAATGAAGAAATAGAAAAAATAGAAAATATCAGAAGTATATCAGTGAGGCTCCTTGCGGGAAACAAATGCACGTTAGGCACATTGAGGGGAGTTTAATAACAGGACCATTTATAATGGGAAACCCCAGGGCCAGAGGAGAGAATTGCTGTCACAATTTGGAAGCTTAGTGCAAATGGCAGCCTAAGTAAGAGAAGTCAACAGTGACTCCCAGAAGCTGGAGAAGACACAGTGGCGATTCCTCAGAGATTTTGAACCAGAAATGCCACTGAGTCAGCAATCGCATTACTGGGTATATATTCAAAGGAGTATAAATCATTCTATTATAAAGATACATGCACACATATGTTCATTGCAGCACTATTCACAATAGCAAAGACATGGAATCAACCCAAATGCCCATCAGTGATAGGCTGGATAAAGAAAATGTGGTACATATACACCATGGAATACAACGCAGCCAAAAAAAGGAAGGAGATCACGTTCTTTGCAGGGACATGGATGAAGCTGAAAGCCATCATCTTCAGCAAACTAAAGCAGGAACAGAAAACCAAACCCCTCATATTCTCACTTATAAGTAGGAGCTGAACAATGAGAACACATGGACACAGGGAGGGAACAACAGTCACTGGGCCTTTTTTGGGGAGGATGGTGTGGGGAGAACATTAGAGAAAAGAGATAATGGATGCTAGGCTTAATACTTAGGTGATGGGTTGATAGGTGCAGCAAACCACCATGACACACGTTTACCTACGTAACAAATTTGCACATCCTGCACATGTATCGCAGAACATCATAAAATAAAGTAAATCTACATTGAACTTAAAAACAAACTCTCCAACCTCATTGTCCCACCATCCCCCTCCCCCAGTCTCCTGCTAGAGCTTCTCGTCCTCTTCGTGGCTGAATGAGGAAGACAGAAAGGAGGGAAGTCCTTTGATTTAGTTCACATTGGTCGGCCTCCCAGGGCACAGAGGCAGGGAGAAGTAGGGCAGAGGGTGGATCTGAGGGGCAACACAGACATGTATCCGGTCCAGTGAATGATACTGCGTCTGAATAACAAATGGCCATGTATGGACAGGTCACTCCTGAATGGACAAATGGCCAGCCAGGACAGTTTAATTTTACTCTGTGGCTAATAGAGAGTCAGATAAAATGTTGGCACAGGAACTGACATGATCAGGTTATATATTTTCAAAGATAACTCTGGTGACAGTGCAGATAATAGACTGGTGTAATGATTGGTTAAGTCAGGGAAACCAGTTCTGGATGCTTTTGTGAAAGTCCAGTGGAAAGTGAAGGCCTGCATGGAAGCAGTGGCCAGAGGAATGGACAAGGGTGATGAGAGGGCGGTGCTGACAGCACGGTGTGTAGAAGGTGGAGGAGCCTGGGAGCGGCAGGAGAACCCAGGCGCCTAGCTGGCTTGCTTGGTAGATAGGATCTGATGACCTCAGGGACTGTGGATACAGGAGGATAATGGAATCACGGGAAAATGGGACACAGCATAAACATTTCTCTGAAACTAATATTTTTTTGAAAATCAAATGTTACCTGTTTCCAAGAGAGAATTTCAGTCTAATAGACAAAAAAAAAAAAATCTCTAAAGGGAGGTTAAAATGTGATCACCTCTGTCTATATTGTGACAATCTTTGAATTAATTCATTGAGAAGAATCATGGAGAAAGTGATCTTTCTTCTTCCACATGGACAGCTGTTCAGCTGTTAGTACCACGAGGAAGCATTTTAGGACTTGTGGAACACACAAGGACATCAGTGATGCAGCGAGTGTCCATTTGTCCTGTAAGCACCAACCAATTATCATAAAAGACAGCTACCATTTTTTGGGACTTAGTTTGTACCAAGCATTGTTGCCTTACATCAACAACATGGCAGATTCTTGATTTGTGTTCTGGAAATGAGGGAGATGAGGAAGTTAAGTGACTTGCTCAAGGCCATACAGATAGGAAGCAGATGTGCTTGAGGGTATTCCAATGGGACGGGTTCACTCTTTAGAGCAGGGATCCCCAACCCCCAAGCCCTGGACCAGTACCGGTCTGTGATCTGTTAGGAACCAGGCTGCACAGCAGGAGATGGGCGGTGGGCAAGCGAACATTACCGTCTGAGCTCTGGCTCTTGTGAGATCAGCGGCAGCATTAGATTCTCAGAGAAGCATGAACCCTGTTGTGAACTGCACATGTGAGGGTTCTAGGCAGTGCACTCCTTATGATGATCTGAGGTCTGAGGTGGAACAATTTCATCCTGAAACCCTCCCCTACCCAACTCCGTGGAAAAATTGTTTTCCATGAAACTGGTTCCTGGTGCCAAAAAGGTTGAGGCATACAGACTCCAGCGACATGATGGAAGTTATATGAAAATGATATTTATTGGATACAATTATACATATCGATACTTGTGTGATCAGTTCTGATTATTTAAAAAAGAAGTTGGTTGGATTCTGTCTCAGATCCTAAGAAGGCACATTCTCATCCAGAGTTTCCTGAAGACAGTACTTTGATTTGATTCCTTGCCTGGGAAGCTTTTTGAATAAGCAGAGTTAAGAAATTCTCAATTGAGAAGAGGAGAAGGAGGGATGCCTGCCTGATGGGATATCCTCCAACTAGAGTTTGAGTTCCTATGGGGCAGAGGCCATGCCTTGTTCATAACTGCTTCCTCAGTAGAACCTAATAGAATGCCTAGAACATGCTGCTGTTCAGTAAGTATTTGTGAAATGACTGAATCCATAAAAGGCTGTTTCAAAGGCTGTTTCAAACTTGCCTCCCTTTGAAGATTTCTGTCATCACAGGGCAGGAGACAAGCAGCAGAAATGATCCCACTGAGCTGTATTATCATAGCAACGTGGATCAGAATAGAAGATAGCTACTTACAGCACACACAGAGCAATCACACAACTGTAATTGAAGGATGATTAATGGAATGTGCCCCAAATGATTTCATTTAGAGCTTCACAAAGCCTGGTAGAGTTGGTTCCAGTTAGCTTGGATGAGAGGTCACACAGATTAAAAATAGACTTTCTTAATAAAGAACAATAGGCTACATTGATTTAGAAAGATACAAAAAAAAAAAAAAAATGACAGGCCTTAGGGGCGGGTATGAAGCTTAATCCTATTTAAGAGCTCAATTAACCCCGAGAAGATTGAGTGGGTCTCCTGCCTTCATGGCCATTCCTCTGTCTAGCGGAAGCTTACAGAGATTCATAAAGACATGAAAGAAACAAGATTTATATTTGTATATAGAACACTCAAAATATTTTTAATGTTTCAAATAATAAAGTTTAGAAATACAAGAATTAGATTGCTTAGACTGTTATGGTACTTAAAACTTTTGAAATAAATCACATTCTCTTTTGAATTGTCATATTTGTTACCGTGATTCATAAAATATTCAGACACGAACATTTGTCTTGACAGGTAAATTCACTGCCTTGAAAAAAAATCCTTTATTTCTTAAATGATCAAATGAAATTACATTTTCTCCTAAATATATCAGCATATCCTCCAGAAATCTAAATAGAAATTCATTCTGGAGTAAATTCCAATCATTCTAATATTTTCATAAAGAGCAGAAGTCAGATTTTGCTCAAATCAGTCCATCCTGAGTTGCTAGGTATCTGAGATGGGGCATCCTGGGGCCTGTGGAGATCACATATGTCATCTTATGGAACCTCTGAAAATTTAATCTCTCGATTCTTTTATGTGTGCCTCAGCCATATAGAAATGACTCAGAAAGATTATGTAAGGAGGGACAGTTGATTTCATTAAAAAAATTGTTGTTCTTAAGGAGGAAAATTTCCAGGATTATGACAAAAAGGTAGTGGTTACATTATATTTATGTTCTCTAATTAGTTCTTTGTTTTAAAAATATTTTCATGCCAGGTGCTCACACCTGTAATCCCAGCACTTTGGGAGGCCGAGGCGGGCGGATCACCTGAGCTCAGGAGTTTGAGACTAGCCTGGCCAACATGGCGAAACCCCATCTCTACTAAAAATACGAAAGTTAGCCTGGTGTGGTGGCGCAGGCATGTAATCCCAGCTACTCAGGAGGCTGAGGCAGGAGAATGGCTTGAATCTGGGAGGTGGAGGTTGCAGTGAGCCAAGATCACACCACTGTGCTCCAGCCTGGGCAACAGAGTGAGACTCCATCTCAAAAAAAAATATTAAAAATAAAAATATTTTCAAAATATTTGAGAAGCTTGACAGAATGAAGTGTTTCTCCCTGCCAAACTTAAGCCATTTAACTGGAAGAGGAGAAAGAGAACTCTCTGCCTTCCTGTCTCCGCCAGCCATGGCATTTCCATTCCTTCTTTCCCCTCCTGACCAGCCAACAACTCACATCCTCATTTTCTTCTTGGGGTGTGAAAAAACTTGCTGACATTCTGGAATAGGATGACAACTTTGTTCTGTTATATACTTTGTTTAAATTGCAGTGAATTATGGGGACAGCTATGTAAGATACTGGAGATTTAAAACTTTAAATCCATTCAATATATGGTAAATATATTGATGCAAAAATAATTGCAGTTTGGCCATTGAAAGTAATGGCCAAAACCACAATTACTTTTGCACCAACCTGATATTAATGCTTATGATATTAGTACATTGTTATGTTGTGTGATTTTTCTCTTGAGCTGACATATGATGCCAGTTCAATATTTTCCTTCTATTCTGAAGAGATACTTTTCAACATTATTAAAGTGAAGAAACGAGATACAGCCTAAACATGAGAGAAAAGTTTAGCTCACAGAAGGACACAAACTAGGAAAATTCTGTGTAAAAACTATCTAGCAGCAAAAATAAGGTCACTGACATAGACAGCAAACACCCCCGCCAGACAAACTCTACTGCTTTAGTGTAAAGGCACTTGAAATTTTAATATTTTCTCTAAGGTGAGACTATAAACTTTTAATATAGCTCTTAAAAATCACAAATGTCTACAAACTAAGTGATGTACTTCAAGTTAGATAATATACCTTTAATCTGTTTTCGTTTTTATTACACAGAACACATAAGATAGTATGATTTTTTAAAAACACATAGATCTACCAATCCATGTCTAATTTTTCATATTTTCATTTCTCATCAGTCCTTGTCCATTTCCCATAATACTGTTAAATAATTATAATTAAAGCACAGAACACAGAAAAATACTATAATTTTTTTCTTCAATACAATTATTCACATTGCTTCATCACTATATTTTTGATAGTATGGCATCAGCTTTAAGCATCAATTACATCTTTTTCTGTGGCTACTAAGTCATTAAGAGTAAAAATAAACCTTGGTAATTATTAATAACTAATTTCCAAATTCATTCCCCAGAACCTTGATCAACATTTAATTCTTTTGCTTAAGAAAAAAAAATTGTGGTTGCAGTTACAAGGAAGACCCCAAGAAACACATATCTTATTCTAACACAATGTCATTATGTCAGAAAACCACGTATATTTTTCTTACATATTGAGCAAAACAAATTTCTTTTACAGAATTTAAACAACATTTTCCCATATATTCATGAGATGTATACATTTTATATATTTAATAAAATGCCTATTTTAAGGTGAAATTTATTCTAAAATAGATTGGCGAGAAAACAGAACCAAAATGTCAACTTACCAGCCTTTTCCTTCTCTGAAATACCTTGAATAGCCTGAAAAAAAAGACACAAAAATTGTGGTATTATTAGGAAGAAACATCAGAAAGCATCATTAGAAATAAAACGAAGTGTAATTAATGACGCAAAAATTAAATAGAGAATGCCAATAGAAAAATTAGCATTTTGGAACTATCAGTAAAATCACTAGAGCTGTCTTTGATAACTGTAAATCATCTTCTAATTCTTTTCTTTTCTGAAGACAGACTCAAATGAATGCACATCCATATTATCTTTAACACTGGCAATAGGCTGGGTGTGGTGGTTCACACCTGTAATCCCAGAACTTTGGGAGGCAGAGACAGGCGGATCGTTGAGCCCAGGAGTTTGAGACCAGCCAGGACAACATGGTGAAACCCCATCTCTACAAAAAATACAAAAATTGGCTGGGCATGGTGGCATGCACCGGTAGTCCCAGCTACTTGGAAGGCTGAGGTAGGAGAATCACCTGAGCCCAGGGAGATCAAAGCTGCAGTGAGCTATGATCGTGCTACAGACTCCAGCCTGGGCAACACAGTCAGACCCCATCGCAAACAAACAAACTAACAACATTGGCAATAAATGAATCTAAAAACACTTTGAATTGGGGTAGAATTTTTGTAGTTAACATTTTCTGGTCCTATTTTTGGGAGAGAGAAGCAAATTCGTTAGTTTCTGGGCATTTCAAATCTCTTCCCTGTTGCTTATTTTTTCTGTGCACACAAGTGAGGTATCTTACCTCTCAAGGCTCAGGTTCCTTCTTTATTAATCGCATCTAGATAATCACATCTACTTCAGAGGATTGCTGAAAGAACTAAAGGAAGCAGCCTCTATAAAGCGTACCAGATCTTCAGGGAAAAGCCACTCTTACTATTTATTAAAATGGGCCTTGGTCCAGTGGGTTAGTTGACTGATGTGAAAGATTTAGAAGCTCAATCCCCAGCATTTATCACTGTTATGATTTTTAAAAATAGGGTTCAGAATGAGATCTTTCCAAGAACTTAAAGCTTAACTGTCTAGTTCTACTGTTTGTGGATACCACTAAACAAATGAAGCAAGTTGACTTTCTGGTTCTCATTCATCTCAGTTACTCACGTATAAAATATAGTTGAGGATGTATTAACTGACCCATTGGGATTTGATGCCTTCCACCCCATAATCACTGACCACAGGATAGATCCAAAGGTGATATTTCTTCATTTCTTCAGGGACAACATCCTCAGAGTTGAAGTAAGAAAAGCACACTCAAATGGGTATTTGTGTGTGTGTGTGTTTGTGTGTGTGTGTGTGTGTGTGTGTGAGAGAGAGAGAGAGAGAGGCCCAAGTGCAGCTCTGTTGTGGATCAGCCCAAGAAAAGAGCATCAATCTTCATTTCGAGAAATAGCAAATATCAAGACGTCTATATCCTTGTGAAATATTGGTTACTGCTGAGATCTTCACCTTTGGGATTTAGGGGATTTTGTGATTGATGCAATAATTCAGCTAAGGTAAAGATTTCCTTATGGATAAAAAGTAGAGGCTGGGCACCGTGGCTCACCCCTGTAATCCCAGCACTTTGGGAGGCCGAGGCGGGTGGATCACCTGAGGTCAGGAGATCGAGACCAGCCTGACTAGCATGGTGAAACCCCGCCTCTACTAAAAATACAAAAATTAGCCGGGCATAGTGGCAGGTGCCCGTAATCCCAGCTACTCAGGAGGCTGAGGCAGGAGAACCTCTTGAACCCGGGAGATAGAAGTTGCAGTGAGCCGAGACCACACCATTGCACTCCATCCAGGGTGACAGAGAGAGACTCTGTCAAAAAAAAAAAAAAAAAAAAAAAAAGGTAGAGATGGGGGGAGTTACTTTGGCAAGATTAATTTGTACTGAAAGCATATTTTGACTCAATCTCAATCTACATTTCGTTGTTCAGCACTGTTCTCTGGGTGTGAACCGTTTCTCCGCATGCTTCCAAAGATGCAGACGTATAGATTAAATGGCAGCTTGGGGGATCAGGCCCAGAGATCAGGGCTTCCAACAAATGGCATAGGCTGCCAGCATTTCCTGGGCATTCTTTCATTTGTTAAGAAGTCATCTGACTTTTCTTCTTCTTCAAGAACTTCTCTGATTCAATACTAGAGGAAAGCAATTTCCTTCTTTTACAAGTGATCCTACAGTTTTGGTAATGTTTGTTTACTTTCTATGTGTCCCTTAAAACATATTTAAAAATAGAATTAAATCCAAACTATGTATTAAATGTTAAGTCTAGCCCCTAAATTTACCCCTGATTGGGGGTTTTAAAATACATTCGCTCTTTTGTGAAAAGTGAACGAACAGAAAAATAAAACAGAAACCTTTCTTTTTTCAACAAGACTGGAAAAGTTGGTGACAGGTAATTAAAGAATGTTCCTGGAGAAAGTTCCTCAGGATAAAAATAGCTAGTGCTTACTGGGTGCTTAGTTTGTGTATGACCCAGTTTTAAGCTTTTGACTGCAGAAATTCACCACATCTTTAGAACACCCTGTAAAATCCTGGAAGGTAAAGTAACTTTTGTGAGGTCATGCTGTCACTAACGGAAGCAAGGCACAATACAGGCATGCTGGCCTGTGAGCCACACTAAACAGACTTATTTTGAAATGAAGGAGGAAAAAAGTTTGGATTGGTCTTATGATAAGACATTTACTTAGAACACAAAATACCTCTATAGGAATATTTTGTATGAGACATTTAGGCATTGTCTAAAGAAGCCCTCTCTTTTCATGGCAAACACATTTAAGTCAAGTTGAAAGCTTTGCCCCAAATCACAAGTTGACCAGTGACAAAAACAAGCCTTTTCTATATTTTATTTGATTTCAAAAGTATATAACCATGCATGTGTAATTAAATATTTAATAAAAATGATAATCAGTGAGTTGGGGTATCAAGCAAAAATACATTTTAGCCTCCTTATGGCCAATGTCCATATTTCATGTAGCCAATGCCAATTACGTTAGAATGTCACCACACTCTGCATGACTTTTAAGCTACCAAAACTCACTTCCATTACATAACTTCAAAGACCATATTACAATGTAGAGAAAGGATAGTCAAAGTGTAGTATTCCTAGAATTTTATAACTTCTTTTTAAGAGTAAAACCACATAGTGATAACAGGTGGATATTCCTCCAATGATTTATCTTTGAATTTGAGGGAGAACTGTCTCTCTAGAAAGTTGTTTATGAATAAATATATTACATTGTTAAATTTCTGAAATTTTCCAGAGATGAATGGCATTAGAAACAATTGAAAAATGCTGACACTTGCTCTACCGTTAGTTAAAGCGGATTGTTAATTCTTAATTACATGCCTCACATTATCCTAGATAAAAAAACTCTTAGCAAAGTTTTCTTCTTTGTGGAATTCACAATGTAATCAAAGAAGTTCCAAAAAAGGCAAAGAATGGATGCTGAACACGAATGATTAGTCACATCACTGGTGTGTCATTAAAAAGAGTGCGAAGAATATAGATCATTAGAACTATCCAAGTAGAAATGGAATGGTTTTCTTGGGCGTGAAACCCTTGGGCAGGAGGCATTGATTGGGGGATTCTTCTCATCCTTGGTTTCTGAGAAGGGACCTGGATAGATTTGGGTCCATGTCCTGAGGTCCCATCATGTCATATCTATTTCTGGGCTCAGAAATAACATTTCACACAAGCTGACTGTATAGTATGGTACAGAGTAGGTGTTCATCAACATTTTTGGAACTAAAACACCGAATGCCTATTTGAATATACAATTTAAATAACATGTATAATTGATGCTTATGAGAAAGCTCCAATAAAAGGCATATTTTTGAATCCATTAGGGGCTTTTGCTAATAGTTGCCATATGTTTCATTTGAACTGCATCCTCAGGAAGTGATTTAACATTTCTTGCAATAAAGCAATTAAATAGGATTTTCCTGCTGGCCATATGGGTTCGCTGTAACTTATATATTTTTTTCTCTTATTTCTCAATGGAACAAAGGAAAGTCTACAAATGACTTCCAAATGAAAGGGGAGAAAAATCATCCATAGTCTTTTGTTTTTCTTCTCTAGGATATTTAAATAATAAGATAGGAACCTTTTCTATGGCTCCCAACCACTCCAACCCTCTATGTTGAGACCCTTTAATAGTTCTCCACATGTAAAGATTTTCATTGAAGTTGGCCAATTAAGGTGTTTTATTAATACAATCGAATTTTTAAAAAGCTATTTAAGAAAGCTTTTTTAGCAAAAGAGAAGTAAACAATTTGCTTTCTTCTAATGAGAGCTTTTAAAGCTATATGTGGGAGCTTAGACTGTGTGCATGCCTGTTTGTGTTTTTGGATGTGAAAGATGGTTGGGGAAATGCTGATTTTGACATGCCACATGGAAATGTTCTAAACATATGTTGATTCTTTTGGTCTGCTGCAGAAATGGCTTTCTGCACTTCCAGGAGAACCTCAGATGGACACCTTTTAGGAACTCACACCAACCGCACAGAAGCTGCTAACGTAAATAGCATCATAAATAATAGACATCATATCTGAATCCATGACAATTGACAATCTGAATGTCTTGTCAATTGAAACATTCTAATTGAACCAATTTCTTCCTGATGACTTAGGAATATGCTTTTTTTCTACTTTCTCTGATTTTAGGAATATGTTTTTCTATTTTAGAAATGAAATGAAATATTTCTATTAATTTTCTTTAATGTGTTATTTTTATTATGCCATTTTCCTCACTTGTATGAAATATTTTCCTCTTAGTTCTTTAGAATCAGGAACATAGAATACTAACATTAAGAAGGACCTTATAGGCCAATCTCTTCAAACAACTGGCAGCTATGATACTATGTAAGTTCTCCTATGTTCCATGAAGCAAATTTATTTTTTTGTCCTGCAGTACACAAACAGAGCACTATCTATTTTGTGCTTTCTCTTTTTATAGTCAGAGCTTTCTTTTACATGATTTCAAATATTCAAGATGTTCACACAGAAGTGTTTGGAGTACTGTTTAAGTGTATAGAAATTTTCTTTATTTGCCTTTTAAAAAGTGGCTTAATTCAGAGAAAAATCAGTGACAGAGTAATTTACTCCTTTCCCTTTAAAACATTCACTTTTCTTCCCACAAAAATTTGTTCCACAAAAAAAAATTGCAGATAAATTCCAAAATAAGTAATTCTGTCCTTAGAAATTGCAAGAAAATATCCTTCAGTGATGGAACAGCCTCTGTCTCAGATGAGAGCACAAGAGCCCATTGTGGGCACATGGGCAACAGGAAGCGTTTTGGGATTCACATTTTTTGGGAAGACATGAAAGACAGCATGAAAGGAAAGAAGGTACATGGGAAAATGAGTTTGTTTTCATCTCTTCTTCATTTAAAGAGTCTTTTGAAATCACGCCATTCTGCAATATTGTTAGCCAGTCAATGATTTCAGTCTGCTTTCATTTGAACAAAGGATTTTATTGAAAAGCTGTGTCTGATTGGCAATCTGATATCATCTATTTTGGTTTACAAAGTAATTCTCTAGCTTTGACAGTCATCATTCTTTCATTAAAAATATAGTCTCTTCTTGATGGAGAGGGATTTAGAGATCATTCATTTGTGTTTCCCAATCTTCAGTTCTTCAAATACCACCTTCAGAATTTTTACTATATCCATGTATCATCTATAAATTATTTACTTAATAATTTAATAAAATCAAATTTAAATACATTTTCTGTTTTTTACTTGTTCTAAATAATAGACATGCATACATTTATGGGTTTGATTTGTGGGTTGTATTACTCATAATACACACTAGGATACATAATTATAAAAATTCAGAATGTTTGCCCCAGTATCAGCTGATATACCATTAGTACTGTATGTAGTATATTTTGCAAAATACTCATTTAGCTCTTTCTCTGTCATTTTGCCTATGAGGACGTTGAGACCCAGACAGGTTAAGTGACTTGCCCATTACTACAGGGCTTTTTGTGGCCAGATGGAAACTAGACCAGAATGTGGCTTTATAACCCTGTGTACTATACCATTCTTCATAAGACTGATGAAGCCAAAGGTCATCATGGCTTCATCCCTCCTAGTGTTCACGATTCCAACTTAACTTAGTTTCTCAACCAGATCAGAGAAGACAATGGAAATTCAGTTTCAGAAAAAAAGAGATGATGTGCTGGTGTAAGGATTGCCTTCAAGGAACAAATATCTATAACTAAAGTGAAATATTAATAAATGCACACACAATTATCTGAGAAACGTCATTGATGCTGTGTATCCTTATCTCCAAAAAAGGACACATCTTATTTAATAAAAGTTATCAGCAATATTGAGATTTATTCCCCCCCTTAAATCACTGACTTTAACAACTGTCTTTCAGTTTTTGTAGACTGAAATTATAGCTTTATTTATACTATATGGTGCAGAAATTTGGGGTCTCAGCTTAAATTGTTTGAACATTTGAACAAAGGCAAAGTTAATTCTTAAGAGATATTTTGGTGCTGCTCACAGGTATGTCTGTAGTTTATCTTTAGCAGAAATGAGATGACCCTCCCCTAAGTAAGAATGAAAGTTGGGATTCTGACCTTGAAAATTTTTTCTTTTCCTCCTCAAAACACTGACATTTAATGTATTTAAAGCTGGTGACTCTGTCTTCAACAAATCCTGCAGAATATTTTACTCCATGCTGTCTTGAGATACCTAAATGTTGAATTTCAGTTTGACAAAGCTCTGGTTGAGGCCACTTTCATTTGGAAATATGGTCTAAAATAAATTCTAATCATTATTCTAAGTTTTTTTAAAAATAATTTCTTTAGGCCGGGCGCGGTGGCTCACGCCTGTAATCCCAGCACTTTGGGAGGCCGAGGCGGGCGGATCACGAGGTCAGGAGATCGAGACCATCCTGGCTAACACGGTGAAACCCCGTCTCTACTAAAAATACAAAAAATTAGCCGGGCGTGGTAGCGGGCGCCTGTAGTCCCAGCTACTCGGGAGGCTGAGGCAGGAGAATGGCGTGAACCCGGGAGGCGGAGCTTGCAGTGAGCCGAGATCGCGCCACTGCACTCCAGCCTGGGCGACAGAGCGAGACTCCGTCTCAAAAAAAAAAAAAAAAAAAAAAAAAAAATAATTTCTTTAGCAAGCTAGATAAACAGAAAGAGCCCCATGACTGGGCCACATTAACTTAACTCTTCTCTGTCTTTATTGAATTTTTAATGATAATATTCTGTATCTCTAAGAAATTTACAATTGATGACTTAGTCATGACATATCCTTCAGATATATTTTCATCTTATAAATCCTTTTCAGAATTTAATAAATCATGTCTTTCTCTATGTTACTATTAAAGTTTATTCCAATTGAACATTGCTAATAGAAAAAATGCCTATTAAAATTAATGAATATATTTAAGTACTGCATATTAATATATTCATTGTGTCTATATTATATATATCTCCTTAAATTTGCAAATTCTTCAGAATTATTATTTTATTGTTCTGTATGATGATTTGCCTGTGGTAGCCACTTAGAAATACTGACTATTCATAACAGTTTTTGTTTTTTAAGTCTGATCTATGAAAGTTCACAATTAAGGAGTAATGTAGACATGTAGGCTGATTTCCAGTGAGGATGATACTCAAGATAATTAACTTATTCAGAGACCAATTGACTCAAAATGGCTGTTTATCCTTCTTTTTGTTGGATGATGTCAACTAGCAATTTATCTCCCCTTCGATGTTACACTCCTCATAATGATTCATTTTGTCCATGAAGTCTGAATAGTAGCTTTTTGCTGGTGTGAAATGCTCCTTCTCACAGGATTTCCTGGGCATTACTAAGGCAACGTCCCTGCTGAAGATTTTTACTTACAGCACTGTTTTCCTTAAAATGCTTTAGTGATTCTCTTTCTTCTTCCTAGTATGCTCATTCTGTACTAATGTGCTCTGAACACGAGGATGAACCTCATCCTCGTGTGCCTAGGTCTAGTTAATCAAGACTCAAGCCAAGTACTCACTACCTACACAGTCTTTTGCTAAGTGCAGTAATTGCAGAAAAGAAATTGAAGGCATGCTGTGAAAAGAAGTAATCTAATTGTGAATCCACGCTGAAGACTGAAACAAAAAATTAGAGGTGAATATGAACACGTACAAGGTTTCTTACTGCCACTAATTGGCATGATGATTTTTGGCACTTTTCTAGAACTCTCTGAGCTCAGTGAGATAGGGGTAGATATAGTATCTACATCCTGGGGCTATTTGTGAGGGTCAAAGGAAATTGCTGCATGGGAAGGGATTATCACACAGCTCCATGATTGTGAACTATTCCTACTGTGGTATTTGTTAATATGAGATTAAAAAGCAACTACTGTATGTATTTATTCGGAAATAATGCAAAACAAATATAGGTTGTCTGTCTCTGAGTCCTCCTCTTCCTCCAGTCCAATTAACTTGTTTCCACATGTTTATTTCTCCTTTATTTATTTTGAACAATTTTAAATTATTTTCTGTGAGATTTTGAAAAACATTTTTGTTTTTTTTCTTATTTTCCCTAAGTTTTATAAAGCTCAGTGTGGAGGATATAATCCTTCTTCCTCACCTTTAATTTGAGGTTTGTCACCCCAAACTAGCTATTACTAGGTGGGCCTATTCTTTGTCCTTTTAGGTAAGCCAGTGATGATATTCTACTTGGGTCTCCAAACAGAGGAGCAGACTCCCATTTCTGTACGTCTTGGAGCAGCAGGACCTGAGGGCATAAGTGGAAGTGATCCCTGTACCAGAAAATGTAGAACATTTATATTCTGCACTCATGTGACCTTTGGGTGACTTCTGAATTGTAGGAGATCCCTGGGACCACCATTTGCATTTAATCAGAACTCTTCACAAGATTTATCACTTACTGAAATTTCATAAATTATTGAAATATATTCATATAATTATACATATAATATATAGACATACATATATTACACATATATTTATAATATACATGTGTATACATATTATATATGTATATTCACATTTAATCAGAATATAATATGTATATATATAATATACATATATATTATAAATATATGTGTAATATACATGTAATATTGTTCAATAGACTTGGATAAAAATAGAGGTAACATATTGGTTTACAGTTTAACAGAATAGCATATAATATCTAGCTAAGAAACAAAACAACATATATTGTCAATCTATTTGTTTTGTGTATTTTCACTTAGTCTCTTAGAAAGCTGAGAGATAAAGCATTTACTCATATCCATCTTGGTCAGGTTAATTACTACCAATTATATTCAAATATAAGCTTAGTTTCATTTTAATAATTCAATGCCTGCATGTTCATCTGTATTACCAAACATTTGCTGATATTCTCACCATTTCATAACATCCAACTTAAAAACTTTTGGTAGATCCAGGCTTCTGGTAGAAGCTCAAAACATAAACCATTAGATCAGAACCACAAAAAGAATACAGATTAAAACTACTTAAATGATATACATAAATCTCTTTATGACAAACCGTAATCTTGTTCACTGAACTGGAATTTATCCTTATCAAATGTGACTTCATAAAGTGGGCTCTTGGCTGGAGCCCAGAAACACTTTTATTACAGGGAGATATTCATTGTAGTGGTAACCACCCACAAATTTGATATATATTATGCGTGGTCTAACCTAAAATGTACACCATGATACCAGGATCAGTAAAATATAGGTTTTATTTTGGCTGAAAGTAAAGGTATTCTAATGTTCTGCAACTCTAATGAAACTCATCACTTCAGGCCTGAGGGTGTGCAGAAATCTACTGTAAGTGATTGGGAACTAAGGAAGAAGTTTATGACACTGAAGACTAACAGAACCTGATGAATGGCCTGGTGCAGTAGCTCATGCTTGGAATCCCAGCGCTTTGGGAGGCTGAGGCAGAAGGATCCCTTGAGCCCAGGCGTTCGAGACCAGCATGAACAAGATGGTGAGACCCTGTCTCCACATACATACATATATACATACATGTTAATAATAAAAAGAAACTGATCAAAAATTTCACAAGAGGTTTTTGGAATCAGGATGATAATCAAATAATAGCCAAACATTTGGTGCTTTCAAAGTGGTAAATTGTGTTAACATTGAGATGTCTATAAACATTCTGCTCTTTGAGGACAAATGCTTGGGCAGAAGAGATGTCCTTGTTGGCACCTCTGAGGTACATGTCTGAATCTATCTATAAAATGTAAGAGGAGTCTGCTCTGTGGTGTCAGAAAGACAGGTTAATTTAGAGATGAACTTGATGTTGGGGCCTTTCAATTGCCTGCGTTTGATAACATGGTAACTATTCTGTGACCTCTCTCCTTAAATCACAGGAGCCCAACTCAATTTCTTCTATTCCATTGATGACCTAAGTCCCCGTATTTTGTTTGTTAATTTCCATTTGCTGCCCATCCCCCTCACCCAGCTTTCCTTTCTATCCCATCCTCTGTGCAGGAATGGTGACCTGGATGGAGACAGGGAGTCATATGCTCAGGTTTGCCTGGGATAATCTTGATTTCACAGATCTCTTGATCAGTTTAACATTTGCCTCAAAATGTTCATTTTTGGTGACAAAGTTATTAATAGTTACATTAAAATTATTCAGAGTGGGTTTGTATTTCCAGCTTCTATAGTATTGTCTAGTATTATATGAGATGCATGTGCAGAGAACGAAGTTCTTGCTTTAATATAGGGTTAAATCTGAAAGACTACTAAGTGATAAACAGCCTCTCCTTCCCTGACCCCTTTCGGATGTAATCTAACCAACACCTCCCTTTCAAGAACAGCACGCAGGTTGCGCACTGGCTTAACAAAGTACACTCAGACACAAGTGGTTAGGGACAGCTAACCCTTTCTGATTTCTGCTGGTGATGGAAGTGTCCAACGATGCCTCCCTACCAGCCACTTGATCTACTAGCTAGTGTGGTCTGGTGCCTGCAGCAGCCTGTAGGACTCACAGAGTCTGACAAGGTGGAAGGGCAATGTGGGTTAGGTGGATGTGAGATATGCAGGACAAACAGGTACAGCAGTTTTGTCCTAGTATATACAGAGTCATAGGTGAGTTTTATACAATACAATTGTATTGTATAAAGCTACAATTATATAGTTAGATAATTGTTGAGTAGCATGTTTCTTTTTTTTTGCAATAATGGTAATTAACTTTAACAACTTTCTTAACCCTCAAAAGTGTCCCAGTCTGGATGATAATTTATATGAGAACGCTTTATATGGATTCCATCAACAGGGTCCTTATTCCTCTTGGCTTCCAGGTAGGTTGGGCCCATGGCAAGCCGTAGAAGGAGACAGAAGGGGAGGAGAGTGAGGTTGGATTATCTAATCCTCTGGATCCCACTCGGCACGATTGCTTGGAACTGGTTGTGACTTTTGCACCTAAGGTCATTGGTTTTCTTAGGGCAGCTGAGTTTGCAGATTTTCTCCTCTCTGGGTTCTTTACTTGCTTCCTTCTCTGGTCATTTGGGCCTTGGGTGATCAGCTCAGCCACTACTAACCCCCAACTGACTGCAGTATCCCTTGTGTTTCTCCTATCATACAACTTTGCAAATAGTCCCTGTATAACTAATCCCTTCTCAAATAATCTTATGTTAAGGGTTTCTTGTATTTTCTATTGGATTCTTAATTGAATCTATTCCTTTTTTTTTCTTCTATGAATGAGCATTGAAATTTCCTTTCTCTCCCCAGTCTCTTCCTATGTGGAGAGTTATGTGAGACATGGACTGTAATAAGTGAAGAAAGTCTTACAAATCATTTATGTACGATTAAAGTCTACCTTGGTTCCAGAAAACTATATTTCAGAATGGGTCAATGAATTCTGAGCTTTCTGTGAGATGCAGTTTGTAGCACTGACATATTTTCAATGTAGACTAATGCTGAAAAGATTCAAATCAAGTATAAGGAAGGTTAAGTAGTAACATTAGCAATAAGCCACATTTTTGTTTGTAAACATAGATGGGAGGATAATTAACTAGGAAGTATGAAAACGTTAGTGTCCAGACTGAATTGCTTCAATACTAATTTTTTCTAGAAAACCCATTAAATAATTTGAACATTCAACATAAAAGCATAGACTTTATAGACATAGCATGGTTAACTGAAATTTACATATAACTTTAGAAGTTAGATGAGATTGCTTTGCTAACTAAACATTTTACAAAACATATCTTCAAAATTATTTATCAAAAGCTGGGTAGAAGATAGGAGATGAAGAGAGAAGGAAATAAATTCGAATTCTAGGAGAAAAGATAGAGACGAAATGGCTATGGTCAGTATTTTTTTGACCAATATCACTGAGGCATAAAGATCGCATCTGTATTGGGCTGTGTCTGGTGTGTGGTGAGGGGAATGAGGGGTAGGGAGGGCCTGAATTAAAGGCACTGGGAGGTGATAAACAGGGAGAAAGTATAGAAGGAAAGGGAGAAGTTCAAATTAGGACCCTTAAGAGGATTGCATTTTCAAGGGCAGGCAGAAGTTGAGAAGAGTGGAAAGAGGATTGAGAAAGCAAAGTCAGAGAAATAAGTTGTAGTCAAGAGTCCAGTTATAGTCCTCAAAGTGGCCAGTATTTTGTGAATAACTAGGAAAAGTGATGGTAAGTTGCTTCTGTGACATGGGGGAATAGGCAACACTTACTTAGTGGTCACTGTAACTCTGTACTTGTTCTATGCCAGGCAGTTTTCTAAGTACTTGGCACTTATTAACTTATTAATAACCTTTTTAAATTAAATTAGGTTTATTTATTTTTAGAGACAGGGTCTTTTTGTGTTACCCAGGATGGAGTGCAGTGGTATGATCATAGCTCACTGTAACCTCAACCTCCTGAGCCCAAGTGATCCTCTTGCCTCAGTCTCCTGAGTAGCTAGGACTAGCATGCACCACTACACTCAGCTAATTAAAATTTTTTTTTTTTTTTTTTCAGAGAAGGAGTCTTGCTATATTTTCCAGGCTGGTCTGAAACTGCTGGCCTCAAGTGATCCTCTTGCCTTGGCTTCCCAAAGTTCTGGGATTACTGGCATGAGCCATTGTGCTTGGCCAACTAATATAATCTTAATAACTACCAAAGGGATAGTGTTACTATATTATTCTATGTATGAGGAAATGAAGTCAAATAGAGACAAGGTCATTTAATTGACCAAGATCTCACCATTAGTAAGTGTCCATGTCAAGTTTTGAACCTAGGGTTTTAACTTAGTTAAGTTCATGTTCTCCCCTTCTCTTCTATCCAGCCTCTTTAGGACTCAAATTTTCTCTTTTCTGCACATATCCTTTACCATAGATAACAGCAGGAAAAAAGGAAGTTAGAAACTAAAGATATTGGTATGGATTTTAATTGCTAGTAACAAACAAACAAAACACCTAGTTGGAACATGGGCTTAAAGAAGTAATTGAACACTGATCATCCTTGAGATGCCTAATGATTAATCTTAAGGGAGCAGGAAACATTAACACAAAGGTAAGCCATGGACACATTTTCCCTTTCTACATGTCAGTCCTTGGCCGGCTGAACCTTCCCTCTCTTCTTTCTGAATACCTTTGCTAGCTAAGAGTGCACTTAACAGAGTAAAGGGAGAAATCATAGTTTTTATGACCACACTAGAAAGTGTTTATACACTTTCACCAGACAGATTGAATGCTCTGTGGTTTAGCCTCATGTAATCTCTCTCCTGCAAAGAAACACAATTGAGTGAGGTTAACTCCAAAGCTGGGTGCTGACAAGGAGCACTTAAAATAGAGCTGGCTTTTGCAGACCTGGAATTCTTCATCAATCAGCAGTGATGCTAACGGGTCTATTTATACCTATAATGGGGATACCTTTCATCAGACTCAAACGTAATTGGTTCAGTAGCTGTGTAGTTTATAAAACTGTTTCTGATTAGAAGCACATCAACAAAATAAAAAATACTCAGAAAAGTGAAAGTAACTTATTGTAAGCATGTAAAAGACACCTGGTCTTAAACAGAAATTTTGCATTATAATTAAGATCCCATTTTCGCCTCCGTTCCCTGCCCCGCCCTCCACTGGCAAAGAACGCTTGCAAACATCATTCTCTCCACAACTTTTCCATTATCATCTGTTTCTTCCCACCCAAGTGATATGGTTTGGATGTGTGTCCCCACCCAAATTTCATCTCGAATTGTAATCCCCAGTGCTGGAGGAGGGGCCTGCTGGCGGGGCGGGGGGGGGGGGTGGATTTCCCCCTTGCTGTTCTCCTGATAGTGAGTGAGTTCTTACAAAATCTGGTTGTTTAAAAGTGTGTAGCACCTTTCCCCTCGCCCTCTTCCTCCAGCGCCAGCCATGTAGGATGCGCCTGTTTCCCCTTTGCCTTCCGACATGATTGTCAGTTTCTTGAGACCTCGCCAGCCATGCTTCCTGTTCAGTGTGTGGAATCGTCAGCCAATTAAACCTCTTTTCTTTATAAATTACCCAGTATCGGGTAGTTCTTTATAACAGTGCAAGAGCGGATTAATACACCAACTTTTTTCAGTATCCTTCTCCAACCATTGTTTAATTCTCTCTCTCTCTTTTTTTTTTTTTTTTTTTGAGATGGAGTCTCGCTCTTTCGCCCAGGCTGCAGTGCACTGGTGTAATCTTGGTTCACTGCACCCTCCACCTCCCAGATTCAAGCAAATGTCCTGTCTCAGCCTCCCAAGTAGCTGGGGTTACAGGTGCACGCCACCACGCCCAGCTAATTTTTTGCATTTTTAATAGAAATGGGGTTTCACCATGCTGGCCAGCCTCCTGACCTCTTGATCCGCCCGCCTTGGCCTCCCAAAGTGCTGGGATTATAGGTGTGGGCCACCATGCCTGGCCCATTATTTAATTCTATAACCTTATTATTAGGGCTGACAAAAGGCTGGTTTGGGTTCTAAGTTATTAAATTGGCACTATGTCAAATGAATTCTAATTTCAAATATGAACACTAGAATAAAATGCTGCTTTATTATCTTAAATTTCTTGCTAATATCCATTTGGGATATTTGGTCTTATGATTTCTGCTCTCTATGAAATGGGTTAAAAACTTGCCTGTTAACTCTTCGTTAAGAGAAGTTCAGCTCCTCTTTGCATAACTCTAACCTTTGTACTGGGTACCACTTCATCTAATTATCTATCTTTTGGAATTAACAAAAGAAAGCGTTTGTAGCATATTTAAAAATAAAAACATGAAAACAATGTCTTTTTTTCTTTTTCAAGGATTATAATAGAGCAGGGTCTCAAAGCCACACAACTGCTATACTCCTGCTATGGTTTGGATGTTGTCCCCTCCAAATCTCATGTGGAAATTTGATCCCCGATGTTGGAGGTGGGGTCTCATGGGAGGTGTTTGGGTCATGGGGTGATCTCTCATGAATAGATTAAGGCTCTCCTTGGGGGTGGGTGGGGTGAGGTCTGGTTCTATTAGTTCCTGTGAGAACGGGTTGTTGAAAAGAACTTAGGCTGGTCATGGTGACACAGGCCTATAATTCCAGAACTTCAGGAGTCCAAGGCAGGAGGATTGCTTGAGGCCAAGAGTTCTAGACCAGCCTGAGTAACAGAGACAGACACCATCTCTACAAACAAATTAATCAATTTTTGAAAAAGAGCCTGGAACCTTTCTCCCCAGCTGTCTTTTGCTTCCTCTCAAGCCATGTGATTGCTGCACACACCAGCTCCCCTTCCCTTCTGCCACCAGTGGAAGAGCCTGAGGCCCTTACCAGATGCAGATGCCAGCACCATGCTTCTTGTACAGCCCGCAGAACCATGAGCCAAATAAACCAATTTTCTGTATAAATTACTCGCCCTCAGGTATTCTTTATAGCGACACAAATGGACTAAGCCGATCCCAATTACTTAAAATACAAAATCTACTACCAGGAAAGAACTTTTAAAAAAATACTTACGTCTATTCACCTATGTGCTAAACAGGGAAGTAGTCTATAGAAAAACTGGAGAGTATTAAGTGATTCAAAAATGAAATACTGGCCCGGCGCAATGGCTCATGCCTGTAATCTCAGCACTTTGCAAGGCTGTAGTGGGCAGGTCACAAGGTCAGGAGATGGAGACCATCCTGGTCAACATGGTGAAACCCCATCTCTACTAAAAATGCAAAAATTAGCCATGTGTGGTGGTGCGTGCCTGTAGTCTCAGCTACTTGGGAGGCTGAGGCAGGAGAATCGCTTGAACCCAGGAGGCAGAAGTTGCAGTGAGCTGAGATCGCACCACTGCACTCCAGCCTAGCGACAGAGAGAGACTCAGTCTCAAAAAAGAAAAAAAAAAAAAAAAAAAAAAAGAAACCTAAACAGTTTAGAGCATTTTAGTGGTAAAGAGAATGTCCCCAATGTAATGAAGCCTTGTCCTCTTTCCAGTTAGCAGCATTCTTTTCTGCAGGAAGTCACCATCATACATACCTTGAATCAGGAGGATAATTCATCCAGTTCTAAGGAAAACTGGTTTTCTCAATTTTCTATCATTTTGTAAAATGAGATCCAAATATACTTGTAAAATTGGCTGTTATTTGCAGGCTGTCTTGATAATAATTCACACCAAATTGACATAGGCCAGATGAGAGAGCTGACCTATTTTCTACGTGTCTGTTATTGGAATTCAGTAAATGTGCTACATTCTGTGTTGTCTATTTTTAATTCCTGCAAATATTTTTTTTAGTATCTGGGTAAAAATTCCATTAACAAATGCTGCATTTTCATAGATCCTCTATTTGGAGAACCCTAAATAATAGAAAATTAAAGATTTATTGAAGTAGACCTGAAAAATATTTCTCTTCAAATGCATTATTTACATTGGTGTTTTACATGTACTTTTAAGAACTGTAATAAATTTTCCTTCATAACAAGAAAAATTTAGAATAGAAAATACTTCAAAATTGCTTTTATTAAATGTGTTAATTTCTTAAAACATTTATAATATTATCTACTGGTTATTTTGATGAGTACCCACTGCTGTTGAATACCTTTGATCATTTTAGCTTTGAAAGAACAATATATCAGTTGCTAAAATAAACAAATAATATCATCTTAATTGTTTTAGTTACTTGTTTGAAAGCTTCTAACTCTATTTAAAGTACAAGTATGTTAGGGGCAAGTATGATAGTATTTATATTTGTTTGTACCCCCATAAACCCTTTTTTATTTTGTTGGACACAAATTATTACATTGAATTTTACTTATAACCTTGGATTTCATATACATCTGACATTATAACATAATTCAACTCAGCTGAGGATTTAAACTGGGTATCTAGAGACCTCAGATCTAGTCCTATAACCTTAAGAAGGTTAAACACTTTAGATCACAGTTTTCTTAGTTATAAAGTTTTAGCTTATCTTTAAAGTTCCAAATTTTAAATAATTTTTAATCTGTGCTGAAATATGCTATGTTTCTTTTGGAAAAGTGTGTCAGTAAAAAGCTGAGTCAAACTAGAATCAGTTCTAAGAAGTAATATTTCTTTACTGCATGGGGATGGCAATTCTCATAGAGCTTGCTATGATGAGTTTTAAATGTGTCCACAAATTCTTTAACACTCCCCCTTTTAAAAAGTGAAGCCTAGTTCCCTTCTTTAATAGACTGGCAGAAGTGATGGTATGCGACTTCTGACTCTATTCCATAAGGCACTGCAGATTCCCTCTTGCACTGTCTTTTGGAAGGTTTGTGCTGGGGAAAGCTAGCAGCCATGTCATGAGGATACTCAAGCAGCTCCCTGTGGGTCACATGGCAAGGAAGCAAGGCCTCCAACAACCAGGTGAGTGAGCCATACTGAAGACAGACACTCCAGGCCTAGTCAAGTCTGTGGAAAACCCTATGACATAGGCTCAGCTAGATCCACTCAACTAAGCTCTGTTCCTGAATTTCTGGCACACGGCAACTGTGTGAGATTATATACGTTCATGATGGTTTCAAGTTGCTAAATTATGGGGAAATTTGCTATGCAGCAAAAAATAACAAATGCATTTGCCTATATATTTAAATGAGGAACTTATGACTATATTTTATATACATCTGTAAAACTATGACTCAACTAAAAGTGCATCTTATTCCCTAGGGAATTAGGTTTTCTTAAAGCTCCTTTAGAAGATGGTTTTGTGTTCAAAGACAATATAAAAATTAAAAATTTCTCCTGCTACAGTTACATTACAGTTTCTTTCATAGTAGACAAAATGGAAATAGGCAGAAAGTGGGCCTCTATTCTTTATTATTATTTTCTTGCATCATTCTTTGCAGTTAAGTATTTTGCTTGGGTTGATGGTCATCCTTTATTAATTTATATTTGTTGAGCTCTCTTGTATATTTTAAGTGAAAGTAGGAACTATATACAGAATAATAAAAATTGATTTCTAACATTAAGGAACTTAGATTTTACAATAAATATTAAGGTGAGCATGCATAGTCAGGCATATGGTATTCGTGCCCTTTTTATATATACATAGAGATAAGGGAATGCAGCAAAATGAATACCTTATTGTTTGGAATATTTACATATTTAATCCTCACAGCAGTCCTATGAGACATAAAGGAGGCATTTTGTTAACTGGTGGTATTATTTCTTTTGAAAATAAATATTTTTCTGATTCTAAAATAAAAGCATTTTAAAGAGTGAGAATTTGGAAAGATGCTCCAGCAAGGAGTTAGTGTAAATCAATTCAGCAAAGTGGTTTACGAATTACGTGAGACAGTTAATGTGTCCCCATGTCCTTAATGCCCTGGCTGAATTACAGCCTTCCAGGAGGTGCCACTGAGCCTGTTGGGGACAGATCTGTTACTTAAGAATAGTTAATACAGTGTCTGACAAATCCGACTGATTTTTTTTGAGTCTTGCATCAGAAAGAGATCTGAAGGTGTTTTTAATTTTTTTGTTGTTGTTGCTGCAGATTTTTTTCAAATGTGCTAACAGAAGAATTTCCAGAAATACCATTAAAAAGCAAACTCAAGGTTTTTAGTAGTTTATATTATTGAGGCATATGTAGTAGACATGTCTCTAGTGTAATTCTTTAAAATCGGCCAGGCGTGGTGGCTCACGCCTCTAATCCCAGCACTTTGGGAGGCCGAGGCGGATGGATCACGAGGTCAGGAGATCGAGACCATCCTGGTTAATACGGTGAAACCCTGTCTCTACTAAAAATACAAAAACTTAGCTGGGCGTGGTGGCGGGCGCCTGTAGTCCCAGCTACTCGGGAGGCTGAGGCAGGAGAATGGCGTGAACCTGGGAGTGGAGCTTGCAGTGAGCCCAGATCGCGCCACTGCACACTCCATCCAGCCTGGGCAAAAGAGCTAGACTCCGTCTCAAAAAAAAAAAAAAAAAGATTTTAAGATCTAACTTTATCAACATGATATAGTTTTATTTTACTTTTTCTTCTTTGTGCTAACCTTCATAAGCTCAGCTTCCAAATTCAATATAAACCATGTACTTTTACTTATGAAATATAAAATTTAAGTTACTTTTTAAGATTAGAGTCTTGTTGCATACCAAGCAGTTGCAGAGTCTTTACTAAACTTGAAAATTTTGGATTTAAGCCAACCAAAATGCAATTGTATTTTCCTTTGAATCTTGAAGGTGTTTCGTGTGTGTGTGTGTGTCTGTCTGTATTTCTAGGGTGACTATTGGAGATTAAATAGACTTTTGACAACACTTTGGTGATACTGTGCAAAAATCATGTATCATAAAATAATCCAAATGGTTAGTTTGTTTGTGTTTTAAAACACTGAATGCTAAAATACGTCCCAAGTTTCTTAAAATTACACACTTTCTGAAATGCATCACATAGAAAACAGATATAACAAAGGTACTGGAGGTAAAGCTCACAACAGAGAGGTTTCTTTTTAGCCTTCTGTAACTTTTGGCAATTTATAAAACAACTAGGTAAAAACAAAAAGAGGAAAAGAGAAATCTCAGAAGTTGGTCAGTGTAGGCTGTTTGCTAGTATGGTTTATTCAGAGCTCTGGAGGCCTGGAAAGGAAGTAGGAGTGAGACTAATGGGCTTTTGGTTTTCAGAACAGAGCCAGTCCCTTGAGGAAACTGTTCGATTATTTCACGGACGGCAAAAAGGGATAATGTGATACGTACAAGAAATTTTTTTCTTGCTTCCCATATTCCTACTAAATTGCACAACACTACAACACTTTCCAAACAGGTAAACATGTTCTGGGACAATAGTTCTGTATACACACACACACACACACACACACACACACAGAAAATCTCACAGAGTCATGTATGCTGGTGTAAAATATAAAAGCTGGTTGATGAGTGGGTAGTTTCTGAAGCCTGATCCTAAGGCAGAGACATAAACAAAGCATGCTGTCCAAGAACAAGTCTCAGTCAACCATGGGTCTTTCATGTAAAGACCAACCTCTGAAAACATGTGGAAAATGCTATAACGATTTAGGAACTTACAGAATAAAGAACGTTCGGCATTATCACTGATTAAGTTCAGGAGAGAATATTCTCTGGGAAAAATGGGCATTAAAAGAAAAGATTGTCTTCTTGCATCACAGGTTAAAACATGTAGCGCTTTATGTTTATTTCCAATTAAAGTAAGAAAATAGCTTTTAATCAGTCATCCAATATGTAATAAAGACTTAGTACAGTCATGCACTGTAACGATGATTTTCTATACATGATGTTGGTCCCATATGATTATAATGGAGCATATATAGAAACCGGATGTATGACACTTGATATTGGCATTGCATAGTAGAGGAAATGATTGACATTCAGTAATGGTGCTGCGCTATTTGGTTTTTCTTATAAAAAAAATAAATAAATAAATACCATATAGGTTTGTGTAAGTTCACTCTATGATGTCTGCACAAGGATGTGCATTGCCTAATGATGCAATTCTCAGACAGCATCCCCGCTGTCAAGTGATGCATGACTATACTGCAAGGCAATGATGAGGATATTAAAAATTATGAAAAATGAGATCTAAGAGACAGAAAACTAATCCACATGCAAATTTCACTAAATATTCAAGAGAGAAACATTTGGCCATAAGAGGATCTAGCTTTTTACTTATGGAAGGGTTGCATTTATAGCATAGACCTATATACCTCAGCTGACCTCTACTTAAGAGTTGGGGACATGTTATAGTAGAACATCCAAAGGCTGACCAAAAAGAATACATATACAACATTACGTATTTATAATTTTTTAAAGAAGAGGACATATAATTGTGCATATAGTCTTGCCACTCATAACCCAAAAGCTGCCTACTACTTTCCCTACCCCAACTGGAGCCAGCTTATTAAGTTGGACACCAACATTGGCTCCAAATTATCTTGTCTCCACCAAGTTTGCCAAAAGAGCCTGACAAATCAGGTATGTCTAAGTTGTAAAACGGTAAACCTGGGACTCCTAGGTATTCCCTTTCCAGGTTAGCTAGCCCAGTGGTTCTCAAACTTCAGCGTGCATTGGAATCATCTACCGGGCCTGCTCTCAAAGTTTTCTGATTCTGTAGGTCATTAGATCAAGGGTGGGGCTGAAGAAGTTATATTTTCTTCAGGTTCTCAGGCAGCACTGCTCCGGCTCTAGGAATCATATTTTGAGAAGTACCGAGCTAGGAGAACATGCTGGTGTGATTGAATGAACTGTTGTGCATATGGCTGCACCCAAGGTGAATTTGTGATCAGTAGAAACAGAGACCACTTGCAGTTTTTGTTGTTGTTGTTGTTTTGTTTTGTTTTTTGAGACAGAATCTCGCTCTGTTGCCCAGGCTGGAGTGCAGTGGCACGATCTTGGCTCACTGCAAGCTCCGCCTCCCAGGTTCATGCCACTCTCCCGCCTCAGCCTCCTGAGTAGCTGGGACTATAGGCGCCCGCCACCACACCCGGCTATTTTTTTTTTTTTTTTTTTTTTTTTTGTATTTTTAGCAGAGACGGGGTTTCCCCATGTTAGTCAGGATGGTCTCGATCTCCTGACCTCATGATCCGCCCGCCTTGGCCTCCCAAAGTGCTGGGATTACAGGCGTGAGCCACTGCGCCCGGCCCCACTTGCAGTTTTAGGTAGTGTGGAGTAGGCATCAAAGAGTGATGCCCCAAATGGGATCTGACCAAGAAAGACTATTTCTAGAATTCAGATAGAAATTGCTGGATTTACAAATAATGCAATTACATTTTGCTAGTGTTTTGTGCCCATACTTATTAAAGCATAAAACATATTTTATTTTTTAATTTTTTATTTCTGGCATTTTTTTTTCTTTGTAGAGTGGGCGGTGGGGGTGGGGGTTTCTCATTATGTTGCCCTGGCTGGTCTTGAACTCCTGGGTTCAAGCAATCCTCCTGTCTCAGGTTCTCATTGTTAGGATTATAGGCTTAAGCCACTGTCCCCAGCTGAAACCTATTTTCTGTTTCCTATATCCACTGCATAGTATCCATCCATCCACTTGACAAAAATGTACTGAGCCTCTACTCTGTATCAGGCACTGTGCCAAGCACTAGCGATATTAGCAGTGAACAAAGGTAGACATTGTCTCTGGCCTTATGAAGCTCACAGCATAGTGGGGGATGTCAATGTTAAACAAATAATTAAATGAATGGCCATTAATTAAACACTGTGGAGAGTGTTACAAAGAAAAGTTCAGAGAGGGTAACTTCATTTAGCTATTCTGAGGAACTAACATTTCATTTGACACCTAAATATGAACAAGGCAAAGTATAGGTGGAAGAGCACTCCTCAGACTGGGAACTACATGTGCAAAAGTTCTAGGTAAGAATCTTGGCAAGAGTTCCAAGCTAGGATCTTAAAATAGAAAAGACTAGCTGGAATCTGGTGAGTGATGGAAAAGGGAGCACAAGATGATGCTGCTGAGGCGGTCACTAGATCATGCAAGCCCTTGTAGTTGATGCTAATAAGCACTGAGCACCTATACGTGGGTTTTAAGTAGATAAATGATGTGATTTGTGGTTTCAAAAGATCTCTGTGGCTCCTATGAGGAGGATATATCTGGAAGAAGGGGATGAGAGTAGAGATGGCATTGACAGGTAAGTGGTAACAGCTCAAGAAAGAACTGACTGCTGATTTGGCTGGGCTGCTAGTGATGAATATGGGGAGAAGTATTCATGCCTCAGTTATATTTTGGAGAGAGAGGTGTATTTTGGTTCTGGGTTGATTGCGGGAGTGTAGAAGACGTCACAGTCGAAGAAGCCTCTCAGATTCTTGCCCTGTGAAGCTGAGAAGATGAAAGTACCATCTATATAGGTAGAGAAGACTGCAGCTGAAGTGGACTAGGTCATCACAGGAGCTGAATTTGTTTTTGGAGAAGCTCAACTAGAGAGAGTTGTGAAACTTTTAAACCACTGGTTTTAGGAGTCTGGAGGTGAGAATAGAGGTCTTGGCTGAAATATAAGTTTGAGGGTATCTGAAGCTGGGGAGATGAGGACCTTATATTTTGAGACTTTGACATGGGAAGGGAGTGGGCTTGAGACTGGATGCAGGTACTCAAGGGCCCAATTCAGGAGGAGCCCGCAGAGTGATGTGATGAGCACCAGCCAGAGGTGAAAGGGGAAGACCAGAAAAGTGTGATGTCACAGAAGCGGAAGGAACAGACTCTTCCAAAATGAGCTGGACAGTCAATAGGCTGGAGTGATCTGGGACTAGGTGAGATGAGAATGCAAATGTGATCATTTCATCCTGCAATGTGGAAGTCACTGAAGAAAATCAGCAAGCGTAGATATGGAAATGTGAAGGGGATGGGAAGCTGGATCAGAGTGAGTTGAAGAGGAAGCTGGAGGGTAGGAAGCAAAGACATTTATTCATTGAATCACTGATCCAGACATTGATTCATCCAATTCATTATTTGAACAAATATCACAGGAGCATCAACTCAGCTCTGGGAAAAAGATGAAGAATCGAGTCCTGCCTTGGAGTGGCTCATCACAGTCTAGATGGGGAGACCAAATGAGTAAATACCTTTTCCTCATCCCCTCTCCCAAATTGATTCTGAAAACAAGTATTACTTTCTGGATTTATGACTATCTGCTGGTCCTATAGAGCTTTCCAATTTTTTCACGTCAAGACATACATTCATAGAAAATGATAATATTGGTCCAGATCATTGGGATGCATAGAAGGGGGGTCAAGGTTGGAGTTGTATCCTAGAATTTACTAGGATATATCCCTGTTGTTGATTCTGGCCTGTGGGATAAATGGAATCTAGTCATCCCCAGACTGGTTTAACCCCAGTCATCACCTAATCTATATATGGTAAATTCTATCAATAGCTACCTCCTTCCCATCACAACTACAGTTCAGGGAAGCTAGAAGAAAGAAATGACTTCTAGAAATATTGACTTTTTTCTACTAAATTTTGGGGTGACTTGGTTTAGGGCTATTTTAAACTCCTCATCTGTTCTATGATTAGGAAATATTTTCACCACTAATGCAGAATTTTTCTGATATACATTATGATTTAAAATCTTTCTGCATATTCTTATATATACATTAGAATGTCATGCCCTGTTTCTCCAGCAAAACTCTTAGGATCCTTAAGAACAGGAGCTGTGTATGTATTTTCTTTCTTTTTGTCCTCTCTATACCAGTGTGGTAACTTTCATGTAGTAAGTAATGGTTATTGATTGATATATACACAAGTGTACAAAGTCCATGTTTAATACTTAGGTTTTATTTGTTGTAGAGTTTGAGAAAAGAACATTGCTTCATTATCCAGTGTTTATTTTTTATTTTTATTTTTACATTTAGAGACAGAATTTTGCTCTGTTACCCAGGCTGGAGTGCAGTGGCATGATCGTAGCTCACTGCAGCCTCTAACTCCTAGGCTTAAGTGACCCTCCCACCTCAACTTCCTCAGTAGCTGGGACTACAGGTGCACACCACAATGTCTGGATAATTTTAAATTTTTTTGTAGAGACAGAATCTTGCTATGTTGCCCAGGATGGTCTTCAACTGATCCCCCTTTCTCGGCCTCCCAAAATGCTGGGATTGCAGGAATAAACCACCGCACCCAGCCTATTATCCAGTGTTTAAAAATAAGACCGATTTTTTGCCTTTGGCTGGTTGACTCATCTGATATCAAAATAACCCAGCACAACCTGGCAGAGGTGGAACGTTAGCAAACTATGTACACACATGTTTTGATTTTTACATATTCAATGGAATCCTCATGAACTTTTGACTGAACACAAAGGTCTACCTTGCTGAGCTAGGTTACAGGTCTGTTGATCTCTGCCTCTTTTTCCATGCCACCCTCCTTTAGCAGAATGTTGTGTATTCTGTGAGCTCTGAGCAAATATTAATTCTAGATAATTATATAGGCCAGCACATTCAAACCAGTCACTAGCTACCTTCCTCTACGTCTTCTTTGCTAATCAAGGGCCTTCCTATCATGAAGCTGTGGTCTCTGCATCATGTTTCAAGGCCCAGGTCACAGGTATAGACAAAAAACACACAGTGAGAGGGGATGAGGTGACCAGGGGTTAGGATTACTACATCTGTCTTTCCTCACTACCTTCCTTTTGAATTTTTTAATCTTGTTTACTTGTTAAACTTTTCTTCAGACTCTCTGTGCCTCTACAAACTGAACATGACTCAAAATACCTTTCCTTACAAGGCTCATTTTCATGAGCGTGGAAACAGGTTAGCCTTATAGGTAGGTGTTCCACCCTCTGCAAAATGTTTACACACTTGAAATTAGGTTAAAATAAACATAATGGATAGACATGAAGAGGAAAAAAAATAAAGCAAAGAATAAATCCAGAAAGCTCACAATGAGCACCAAGGGTATCCAAACCAGGAGGAGAAAAGCTCACTACCTTCTTTATGATTCGCCCAGAGCCAGGTTCCTCTGGTTCCTTTGGGTGGATTCCTGGTCTCTTATTGCAGCCTTCTAGTAAATAAATGGTCACAGTGGTTTTACTGGGACACTATACAGATTGGTGGTTTGTAAACAAGCCCAAACTTTTAATTCAATTTTTAATTTTTGTTATTTTGTAAGCACCACATTGGCTACTCTGGAAAATAATGATTGATAGGAGTAAACCTGGTATTCGTTTGGGTGGCAATTCCAATTGGTAGGATTCTTTTTTGCTCAGAGATCTGAGGCTATGAATCCATGGCTTAAAAGTATAGAGAACAAGTTCTAAGCTGAATAGTATTTTAATAAGTCTGGCTCAATAAAGGCAACACTCCAAAGAAGATTGAGTAAAGAACTTCCAAGTTGAGGACTGGTTATTATGAGGATAAATAGTGTTTTGTTAAAATAGCTATTGCTACAGAGGATCAAAAAAGGGAAAGAATCAGTATGTGTAATTTTGTCACATAGCTGAATTCTGTGCACCATATAATGCTCTCAAATTTAAAATGTCTATGTTCTAATTCAGAAATGATGGAGACAGAAACATCAGAAGAAACCCCCAACTAACCCAAAACCAAAAAATAAAAAAAAAAATCCCCACCAAATCCAAGAAACTTTTCATAAAACCTGAAACTCAATATTTTCTACTTTCTGTTTAAAAGTACAACCTATTTTTTGAAGTTTCTAAAATTTCAGAAGCACAAAAATTTTTGCCTACCAAAAGGAATAAAATATTGATATTGGCACTGAGTCAGTCCTCACTCCTTGTTTTAAGTGGCTTTAATATGATCCTTTCTGTGCCTTCTTTCTTTTTCCTAGACGCTTTCTTGACATAACATGTTGAGAATGTGACCAGGGGACAATGTATGTAACTTCTACACACAAAGACTCAAACCATGTTAGGTTGATGTCAGCTTCCACAAAATGACGAACTATTATTTTTAAACTGATAAATTAGCTTCAGCATTTTTAATGACCTCTAAGTCACATACAGTAAAACCTTGATTGGACATGGAATGTAATTGCTTATTTTTCTTAATGCCCCTTTAAATTAAAAACAAAACACAAAACACCTTATTTCAACCATTTTTGAAAATCATTGTAAAGTGCATTAGCATATTTTCCTGCCTTAGCGAATAAAGCGTAATGAACACAATGCAATCTTTTTATAAAGATTGGTTCCTGCAGTGCCTCCAGCTCCAAATTATCTGAGCTACACTGTTCATTCCCTGGTTTCAAGAAGTATACCTGAGAGTCAGAGAATGACCAGAGCACACATAGCATACCTTGGTAGCTGCTGGAAACACTGAATGTTCACTATTGACTGATTTTCTTTTGTCTTTTTTTTTTTTTTAAGATGGGGTCTCGCTGTTTTGCCCAGACTGGAGTGCAGTGGCACGATCTCGGCTCATTGCAACCTCCACCTCTGGGGTTCAAGCGATTCTCCTGCCGCAGCCTCCTGAGTAGTTGGGATTACAGATGTCCACCACCACGCCCCGCTAATTTTTGTATGTTTAGTAGAGATTGGGTTCCATGTTGGCCTGGCTTGGCTGATCTCGAACTCCTGACCTCAAGTGAAACGCCCGACTTGGCCTCCCAGAGACGTGAGCCACCATGTCTGGCCCACTATTCATGGATTTTCTTGAGTTTGCTTTTTCTTTAACAAGTAAATTATGAGTTACTTGATTAACCCATTAATTAACCTAGGTTAATTGTTATTTTACAGAATTAATATAGTTTATTTGGAACAATATATTAAAATGTGATTTTTTTGTGTATTTGACTGAGTCACTGCTGAAATAGATTCTTAAGAGTGGTTCTCGGATGCCAAAATCTCCTGCCCAAAGGTTTAAAGAAAATAAAATTTATGTTTATCCTCCCTAAAGGCAGAGAAATGGACTAAATTACCTCTCTAGAATTGTGGCAACACTATGATTCTAGAAAAACTAACTGAATTTAATTTAAAAATATATTACAGTTTTTTCATATTGCACTTACTACTTATATAAATTGTTTAAATTATTTTTTCTTTGTCCTTATTGCATGCATGAATACATTTTTGTAAAATATTCCCTACCTATCAATGTTATACAAGATTTTCTTTGAGATACAGAATAAAAATTGTCATCCTTTCTTTTTTCTTTTCTTAGAGACAGGGTCTTCCTTTATTGCCCAGGCTGGAGTGCAGTGGCACAATCATAGCTCACTGCAGCTTGGAACACCTGGGCTCAAGCCATCCTCCCACCTCAGCCTCCCGAGTAGCTGAGACTACACCTGAGCACCACCGTGCCTGGCTGATTTTTGTTTGTTTGTTTGTTTTTTGTTTTTTTTGTTTTAGTGATGAGGGTCTCATTGTTTTGTCCTGGTTGGCCTTGAACTCCTGCACTGAAGTGATCTTCCTGTTTTAGACTCCCAATATGTGGGGATCAACAGGTGTAAACGATCATGGCTGGCAAAAATAAACATTTTCTAAGACTGAAACTGCTTAACGAGGGCATTTCAAGATGCAGTGGGAAATGGCTCTCCTGCTTGTAACAGAACTACCCTTCATGTGTTCTCACCCGCCCCCTTATTTAAAATATAGCTTTATTTACAATGTGTACAACAAAATTTATAGTAACTCAAACTAAATGGGTTCCCTAAATGGTTTCAAATGACACATTCTCCTTCTTTACCTAACATCACTTTGTTAGATATCTACAAACATGTTTATTTTATGAGGCTTCACAATAGAGTAGACAGCTTTAAAAGATCTTAGCAAACACAGAGTTATTCAGACACAGAAAATTTTCAAGTGTCTTCTCTGTGTGCCAGACACCTTATACATACTGGGAAAACAGTGATGAACAGAATTTGAAAAGCCCCTTTGCTCATGAGGCTGACCTTCCAGTGGGGAAGATTGCCTAACGACATGGAAAACAAATAAGTCAATGTCATATTTAGATAACTGTTAGGAAGAAGAGAAAATAAGGCCATATGGTGGAGAGCGAGGGATGCTTGGAGAGGGGGTGAGAAGTGGCTTTAGTCAAGGTTACCAGGGACGTCAGCTCTCATGGTGGTGACATTTGAGTTGCACCATGAATAACCAGGAGATAGCATTGCAAGCAGTGACACAGAGGAGAGAAGCAGGGGGGAGTTGCAGATGCGGAGACCTTGGGAGGGAAAGGAGCTTGGTGTGCTCAAAGGACAGAGACAAGGCTAGTGTCACTGCTAGCACAGTGGAAGATGGGGGAGAAGAGAGGGACAAGAGGTCAGGGAGCAGGGACAGGCCAGATCTGTGAGCCCCCCTGGAGGAGTTTTATGTTGGCAGAAATGGGGAGCAGCTGGAAGTTCTAAGCAAGAAGAGTATCATAAGTGGATTAATAAGCAGAAAGATCACTGTGCACATGGGGTAGACTGCGCAGGCAGGGGAGAAGGCAGGAGACCAGCTAGGAAACAATGGGGACCAAACCAGGTTTGTGGGAGACAGACATCAATTGTCTCTGGGCAAGGACAAGGCAAGAGGAAAACATCAGGAGTTATTTTGTAGATAAAGTGGGCAGGACTTACTAACGCATGGACTGGATGAGTCATTTGAAGAAAAGAGAAGAATCAAAAATTCCTTCTGGGTGTTTGATCTTGGCTGAAAATCTGGTGTATCAGAAGGTACAGAGGGAAAACACCAGTTGTCCTGGTTTTGTCATGTTAAAAATGAGATGCTTGTTAGATGTCCAAAGTAGAGATTTAAGTCATAATCATAGCTATTATTTATCAATGCCTATTATGTGGCAGGCGCTGCTCTAAGCCCTTTTAGGGGCAATAGCTCATTTATGCCTCTTAACTTTATCTGGAAATAGGGACTGCTATTGTGACTGTTAAGGCTGTAATAAATGGCAGAGTCTGAATTAGCCCACAGAAAATCTGGCTCAGGGGCTCTAGCTGGTTGTCACTGTGCTAAGCCAAGGAGGGAGAGACAAGTCTGGACTCAGGAGAGAGGTCCAAGCTGCAGGTATACATTTTAGAATCATCAGCCTCCAAGGTGTTTTTAAGACTATGGGGGCAGGATGAGATCTTCCAAAGAGAAAAGAGACAGGAAGAAAGGATGGCTGGAGAAAATGCCTTGGGGTCTGCCACAATTTAGAAGCCTCTTGGAGGAGGAAGAGCAAAGGAGTGTGAGAAATAGCAGCTAGCAGGATTGAAGGAAATCAGGCAAATGGGTAGAGAACTTGACTAAAGTACAGTAGAGTTCAACTATAAACTACTTTTTTAAATTTTAAGAAAGGGACTTATATTCAGAGGGTATAGAAACCAAGGACATGCTGATCAACACTTTTCTCTACGGAATACTAATATTTGTAGAGAAATCAATGTGAGCACACAAAAAGTCTTTTCTAGATCAGCTCATATTTATCGTCAAGGCACGAGACTTCCTGATGCAGAGTGGAAGACAATTAAGGGAGGGTTCTCTAAACCTCGATTGAAGTTTCTCAAAGCATATATGAAACTAACATCCTCATTTTCCTCATGGTAAAGTCATCCTGTGGGCAAGCTGATGGAAACCCCTGTCCTTCATAAGAGTAGATCTCCAAGAAGTGTAGGATAATGTATATTACATATTATGCCTTATAGAAAATATTGATAACAAACAAAATGCTCAAGCCAAACCTGGATCTATTGTTCCATAGAATCATGGCAGACTTTATATAGCATGGGTATATAAAGTCTGCGATGATTCTCTGCTTGACAATTTAAAAAGCAAAATTAATCAACTATTATTTATTGTACCCACACTAAGTCATGTGTAATCATGACTTGTTAATTTCAAAATATGATTTTTTTGCAAGGAATAAGTTTTCTTTCATAAAAATTGTTTTTACAAATTATAAAACATTAAATTATGTAATATTTTCACTTATGAAGGTACTATTTATTATATATTGTACTGGAATTTTAACTGGGAAAAGATTTGATATTCAGAATCTTTACAAAAACTGGGCAGAAGGCATATTTCTAAAGGCTCATCTTTCTTTTGAAAATATAATTGAATTAATTATTTTCCTTGTAAATCTTCCAATATGAGCTGAAGTTCATTCATCTAAGTCTTTGAAGCATATTCCATTATTTGCTCAAGTCTAGGAAAGTAGAACCCTTAATAAAGTTTTTTTTTCTAACATAAACCCAGTCCTAAGGTGAAAGTGCTTGACCCCAAGACACTGTGGTTGATTATTGAAATCAAAGGTAGAATTACAGTGGTAGAAATTCTAAAGTATCAATATATGTAATAAAATAATATTTGTTACACTATATTAATTTTTCAGACTACGAAAAGTCACAATTCCAGGAGAAAGTTTTTAAACTCTCAAAACAAAGAAGTATTATTTTTCTCAAAGCATGAGATTAGCTTGTTTTTTATTGTTAGGTTTGTAGCTACTGAGACTAAACCAAGATAAAGCCATCATGGTTGAACAACTGTGGTGGCCCACACAGCTCAGCCATGTGTTTTATCATGGCATCTATTGTGTGGTAGAAAAAACTGGAAAGATCAGAAGATGGGGTTTGAATACAAGCTCTGTCATGTACTAGCTACATGCTCCTGCCTTCAACCTCCCCTTCTTTATCTATAAAATGAGTATAAGAACAGTACATGTAGGGTTGTTGTAATGATTAATACAAAATAGTGTTAATTAATCAATTAATAATGTACATAATATATTAATAGTATAATGTATGCCACCCAAATATAAATGGATATTATTGCTATGTGACATTGATGGTAACCCAGGGAAACAAAATTAACACATTAAGACTGATGTCAAATTTGTCATTTTTTTCCTAATATTAAGATATAGAAATAATTAAGAAGTAAATGACTTACTAATAGTTAGCTAAAGCAGATGAAATGAAAAATATAAACCAAGTAAAACAAAATCAATTGTTTCTGGTCAAAGGCAAAAGGAAAAGTATAACTTCCTTCCTGGGGTGAAAATAGAAACAGAAGGAAGATGTGTTCAAATACCTGCTTGACAATGCCTTTAGCATAGACGTAAATTCCAGATGGTTACAAGAGCATTTAATTTCTCTACAGTTTTGCTCTATTAAAATCTTGATCATGCAGCACACAAAAGGTGGCCTATATGAAAAATGTAGAATGTGGATATCATTTCCATAACACACATTAGATTTGGCAGTGTGTTTTCTGAGTTAGTAAAGATATTTCTGATTCAATTACAATTACTTTTAAATGAAATTACTAATTATCTGTCCGATTTCAGAATAATGGATTACCTAATTTGTAATTAAGGATGAATTTACTAATTGCTACAAAAAAATAATTAGTCCAATATTTTCAAAGGTCATGTTGCAGAATGACAACATATTCTAGGAAATTTGTATTTTGTGGTTATTTTTAATGCCCTGATTTGATTTGACAATCACATTAACATCATGAATTGTAAATAGATGGAAAAATTAGGGCACAGATTCTGATGCCTATCCACACTGCTCAATTTTCTGTGTGAATATCAGAGAATTTAGGAGGATAAGACAAAATTGTAGGAAAGACAACTTATAAGAAATCTAAATTTCCAAGATAATGTATATGTAAGAATATGTACATATGTAATTTTACCTACAGAGCATCTTTCCCATCCGTTTTGGTACAATAAAGCTGGAAAATGTACCATTACTGTTGTTTAACAGGGATAGATTCTGAGCAACAAAGAAAAGTATAATACCATATTAACTAAATAATTGAATTAAACAAGAGTGTAAAGAAGTGAGTAGTTCCACTCTTTGTACTGCTAGTGATATAAACTCCATGAAAAAAATCCCCATATAGGAATTGTATATGCAATTTATTACACTTCATTCATTTATTCTTTCTATCAATACTGATCCCCTATCATACGTTGAGTAGTATACTTCAGTGTTCCTAGCCAGATAGTATAGCTAGAGGAACTTAATATGGTAGTTAAATGGAGAGTTTTCCTCTAAGTTGCCATAACATTGCTTTGCAAATAGTTCTGTGCAATTGAAAGAACCTGGACTGGCTGCAATTTTGTCCCCACTTGCTTTTGACCTTAGATGGGACACTTGGTTGTTCTTTCCCTTAGAATCCACCTCTTGGGGACTGGGATGATAATCTCAACCAGTCACAGGTTTGTGGGAAAATCAAGTGAGACAATTTACGTTACAGGTGGTTAAAAATAAATTAGAGTCACAAAGCCATGGTTCGAAAAAAATACTATTTTAGTTTAACTGGAAATAATTGTGGTTGAGGCTGTAGCTGGCACCCTAGCTGAGCTCAAATCCTGAAGTTAAGAGTTGCTGCATTGGGCCCTTGCTTGATTTTTATTAGAAAAGAATAAATCATTCTGCAATTTACTGCTACAAAAAGAGAAACTCTCCTTACTGTAGTGGAACATATTACATATTATAAAAACCAAGTTTAGATACCAATTAAGCAAATAAATATTTAGTGAGCATTTATCCTTTACCAATGACTCTTTTTGTGAAGACACAAAGATGAACAAGCTCTGATCCCTGACTCTGAGAAGTTCAGTTCTGAGAAGTCTATTTCCCATGTCCCCACACCTCATCTGTACGTGAAGATAAGCCAGATGGTCTTGAAGGGCTCACCTCATCCCAAAAACCAGTGGTTCCACACCCAGATCACAGGAGGTGAGCTACCTGCCCAACTAGCGACATGGAATCTTCAGCTTACTCAATTATTGAAATAATTGAGTAACAATAAATAGCCTTTGTCTTTTGCAGGTGGAAATCAAAGAATTTCACAGAAATCAGTAATTGTCAGAAACATCGATAATTTTACTTTTGTACCCTTTAATTATTTTGCACACAAAATATGTGTAGGTTAACCAAGCAATTAAATAAAACACACATACTGATTTGAATTTTTATACCAGAAGCACTTCATATGTAACAATGCGTATATCTGGTAATAAGGAAAGGTAATTTCTATGAATACGGGCTCAGTAAATGTTTGCAGAATGATTGGTAATGAATTAATTAACTGAATCATTCCCTTCCTTGTCAAATAGGAATTATGCAAACCAAACTACTTTTGTCATCAGTTGCCATGAGATTAAAAGACATTGAAATGATGCACGTAAGAAAAAATTTCAAAGTTAAAAACAACTATGCAAGTGATAGAATAATTGGCTTCCAACTCACGGAGGACAAGGCACAATATGTGATTTTTCTGGCTGCCAGCGACAACCTTCTAGGGTATTTGTAATAACAAGAGGAGGCTTGTGAAGCAATTAGCAGGGTGCCAGGCAAATAGCAAGTGCTCAATAAATACAGCATCATCTTTCAATTATCTAGCTTTAAGTTACCATATTTTCCTTTTAGAGACTACATCTCTAGGAATCATCACACCAGGCAACAGATTACAGGTGAGTATTTTAGATATTTTGTTGATACTTGTGTGCTGTTTTAAAATCACATTTGGTCTCTGGTAGGACACAGGGCAGAGATGCCCTGTCATTATGTCGCCTGTTTTGAAATAAGGAGAGTAGGTGGCTTTCATCTTCAGAAAATTTGCTTAACAATCAGAACCTCTAAAATTGCATGCCAAGTTTATTTGTGCATATGTATTTTTTTGTTAAGAAAATAATCCCTAGCTTTCATAAAATACACAAAGAGATTGTGATTCTCTCCAAATTAAAATTACTTGTATAGAAAGCCTATAGCAATTAGATAGTTTACAAAGTTTTTCACTCATGGCTCAAGGACTTGTATTCATTTCTTTCTTCTTTCTTTCATCCACTCACTTAGCAAATATTGATTGAATGTCCGCTATGTGCTAAAAGCAGGGAAAATCCAGCAATAAATAAAACATAAAATTCCTGCCATAATCCTCGGGAGACAGGCAAATAAGCAACTGACTGAAGTAGAAAATCAGGTAGCAGTAAAAGTGAGGAAGGGATATGAAGCAGAAGTGGAGTGGAGCATTCTGAGTGGGGTGGGCTTGGGCGTTAGGGCTTCAGACAGGAGATCAGGGAAGGAGGTCCTGGGGAGGAGGCCGGAATGAAGTCCAGGAGAAAGCCACTCTCATATCTGGGTGAAGGGCATTGCAGGCACTATTTGAGGCTTGGTTTCATTTTTTATTTTTATTTTTTTTGAGATGGAATCTCACTCTGTTGCCCAGGCTGGAGTGCAGGGGAACCATCTTGGCTCAATGCAACCTCTGCCTCCCGGATTCAAGCAATTCTCCTGCCTGAGCCTCCTGAGTTGCTGGGATTACAGGTGCCTGCCACCATGCCCCACTAAGTTTTGTATTTTTAGTAGAGATGGGGTTTCACCATGTTGGCCAGGCTGGTCTTGAACTCCTGACCTCAAGTGATCCACCTGCTTCAGCCTCCCAAAGTGCTGGGATTACAGGCGTGAGCCACTGCACCTGGCCTCATCTTTAATTTTTTAATGCTGACTTTTCTCTTGCATATGGTCTTGCTTACTTTTTGTTGCTACTTAAAAAAACAAAAACAAACTATTTTTCTTTCACAGGCCTAATGGATGTAAATTTCTGCTCCTAATTTCCTTTCCCCTAAACAAGGATGTTTGACTAGCTGATTCTTCAAAACGTTAACATGTGTAGTGGCTATTGTTTTATTGTTGTTATAAACTTCACAGGTTTCAAAGCTCTCCCAAACTCAGTAACAATCTGGCCTATGCCATAAATTCCCTAATTCATCCAACAAATTTTCACAAAAGAGTAAAATATATGCCCTGGCTTTGGAAGAACTTAAAAATCTAACAGATATATAATTCTTGGAAAGTTCAGCCATCCTCTATGGCTGCGCCCAATTGCAAGGGAATTATTCCTATTTCTTAGGGTAGTTTTACCAGCGTCTAACTCGGCTGGCACCCATGTCATGGTGCTGACAAAGGCATATTCACATCGAGCTATGGGGATATTCAGGGTCAATATTGAGACTCATGGTGGGGAGAAACGTGTGTTCAGTAGGATTTGAAGGAAGGATTTAAAATAATGTGCTGAGGATCAGTTTTCAGCAAAAGTACTGTTTTTCACATTGAACTAATTTCTTTAGCTTATAACCACAACACTGAGCAAAAAACACCAATAACAAATGCATAACAAAGACAAAAAGAAGAGAAAAGAAAGACCTCACGAAACTGCAAAGCTTGATGATCCTACCATATATAAAAGAACCACTGGGAATTGTCTAGTCTAGAAATGAAAATCATGATGCAGGAATGCAGCTATGAGTGTCACTTGGAGCTTTGGGAACGGACATGTGCTATGCCTTCAGCTTCGAGCAGTTCTTGAACTCCAGCGTGCGTCAGAATCACAAGGAGGGCCTGTTAAAATGCAAGTTACTGGCCCCCACACATGGTTTCTGATTCACTAGGTTTGGGGCAGGGCCTGGGAATTTTTAATTTCTGACAGTTCCTCGAATACGCTGCTGCTGCTGGAGTCCGTTTTGAGATAGGGTGCCTTTGAGAATTCCCAGGTGGCCCAGATGGGAGAATCGCTGCTGGGCTTCAGAGGATGTCCCAGCAGTTAGAATGTTGTAAGGACACGTCGCAGAAAGCCTTGAAAGCAAAGTGGCCAGGTTGTGACTCTGGTAGGCAAAACAGGCAGGTTCATCCTCCTGGTATGCAGCTACTGAGATGCAAGGTGCTTTTTAAACATTGTGCAGCTCTTAGATTGGTGCCCCAGGGAAGGACAGGCCCCATCAAGGCTAGCCAAGAGCAGATTGATTACATCTGTGGCCAAAGTGTAGGCGATAAAATGTCATCCATCAGATTCTCTAATCACCGGTGAACATGAAATAAGGCAAATCAGCTGAAGAGTCTTTCAGTAAGTAAAAATAATAAAATGCCTAAACTGCTTTCTATTCTACAAGCTAAGTGGTATTTATTTTAGTAATAAAGATGCTCTTTAAATGAAAATGCATCAGATCGAGAGGATACATTTGGCCAGTGTGAATTAAAAGAGTTTATATGCATTCATTCTGTGAATTCCAAAACAAAAACTATTTCTGATCTTGAAGAATCTAACCATGACCAATGAGGTATCATGAAATTAAAGTTCTACATTTTCCTCTGTGTAATAAATATGAACTACATGACAGGTAATAGGAACTACTTTATTTACAAACTATTCAATGCTTACACTGAAAAACAGTCACCTCCTATTTCAGGAAAAAGTGTTTCAAACATGCAGAAAATTTGGAGAAAGCTCTGAAAAAATTATCTATATGATTAGAATAGCAAGAAAAGCAAACCATTTGGACAAGCAAGAGATATATGATGGTTAATTTTATGTGTCAACTTGGCAAGGCTATGGTGCACAGTTGTTTGACCAGTCTAGATATTGCTGTGAAAGTATTTTTCAGATGTGATTAGTATTTGAATCAGTAGGTTCTGTGTAAGGCAGAGTAGGCTTTGTAATGCAGGTGAAACTCATCCAATCAGTTGAAGGCCTTAAGAGGAAAGACTGAGGTTTCCTGAAGAGGAAGGAATTCTGCCCTAAGACCGCAACATAGAAATCCTGCTTGGAAATTCAAGGAATTGGGACTAAAGACTGCAAGATCAACTCTTAGCAGAACTTCCAGGCTGACTGCTTGCTTTATGGATTTTGGACTTGCCAGCCCCACAATTATGTAAGCCAAATTAAAATCTCTCTCTTCCTGTCTCTCTGTTTGCCTCCAACATATCCATCGGTTCTGTTTCTCTCTCTCTCGCTTTGCCTCCAACATATCCATCAGTTGTGCTTCTCTCTCTCTCTCTCTCTCTCTTTGCGTCCAACATATCCATTTGTTTTGTTTCTCTGGAGAATCCTAATACAACATACATCAATGACAAGACGAATTAGCTGCAGTTGTTTGACTTCAGACTGTCTTTTGTGTGACTTGGTGAACCAAACAGTAATTTCTGACTGCTTGAGAGTAATTTAATTTTCCCGTTAACGTTAATCATCTCCACCCTTTACTTATTGAAAAGCAGAGATACTTATTTGCTATATACTGCTGATATTTTTGTGAAACAGGCGCACTTGTGACTTCTATAATTTCTTTGGCTTGGAAGCTACAAAGAAAGGTGAATTTATGATTCTTCAGTGATTTGATTTGTTTGAGTCAGAGATTGGGTCATCCATGAATACCCGGCTTCCTCCAGTTAGTTCATGTTGTTTGCAGCCTTAAGTGTAGATACACCAAGTAATTATTCTGAGCAGAAAGTGATGGCTCATAGTCCTGAGACAGGAACAGCATGTACAGGGGCTGTCATTCTGCATAACTCCTGAGATTGTGCAGTGTGGTGTCCTCAATCAGTTATGATAACTGAATGGAAAAAAGCTTTAAAATTACATGTCTCTTTACACTGGGAGCTAATGTGCTGAAATAAAAGTTACAAGATGGGGAAGAAATGTATTGATTGTCTACTCTGCACAAGAATGTACTATGCTAGGTAATTTGGTTATATAATCTTATATGATTTTTAAACATGTTTGTACAGCAGATATTGTTGTTATCCCCATTTTGTCCATAAGAAAAAGAGGGTCTAGGATATTAAGTGACCTGCCAAAGTCAAGCTGTGAGTAAATGGAGGAATGTGGATTTAAGTCATATTTTATTCCAAAGCCTGTCCTCTTTTCCTACACTGGATCGCCTCTTGGTTAAAGTCAGCACTCTAAAAGCCTAAACATAGTTTTAAGGCCTTTGGTTCAATTGATGGAAATGTGATCCTGATTTTTCACAGTTGGCACCTTTTCTGGCCATTGGTCTGAAAATAAGGCTACAGTAGGTGAATCTAACATTTCTTATCATTTTTACATCTTTAGGGACCCAAATTTGAAATACTTAGTTGCTTAAGTTTCCAGAATCAAGGCATCAGTGGTCCAAGCCATCAAGATACTAGATTAGTATCATTTGCTCTGAGAAACTGGCAAAGATTTCTCAGAATCTTGGGATTTCTTCTGACTTGATATTCTCTGAACCTATGTTACTGTCCTACAAACTATTCATTTATTTGCTCCTTTTTCTTTCATTCAATACATATTCAGTACTTACACCAAAATTCTGTATCTTGAGCTGAAGAAAGTACAAAGATGAATTAGCTATAGTTCCTACCTTTAAAATACTTTCAATCAGCCTGGCCGTGGTGGTTCATACCTGTAATCCCAGCACTTTGGGAGGCTGAGGCAGAGGGATCACCTAAGATCAGGAGTTTGAGACCAGCCTGACCAACATGGTGAAACTTTGTCCCTACTAAAAATACAAAATTAGCCGGGCATGGTGGCACATGCCTGTAATCCCAGCTACTTGGGAGGCTGAGGCAGGAGAATAGCTTGAACCCGGGAGGTGGAGGTTGCAGTGAGCCGAGATCACGCCGTTGCACTCTAGCCTGGGCAACAAGAGTGAAACTCCATCTCAAAAAAACAAAACAAAACAAAATACTTTCAATCTACAGGGAAAGTTCTACTAAATAAGTAGAATACAGAGTACGGAGTGACAAGTGGCTTTTGGTGTTTTGCCACAAAGCAGCACCCGCAAATGAGTTCTCTAAAAAGGCTGGTAGGAATGGTTACTGATGAAGTGGTGCATAAGGCTAGCCACGAGGTCTCTATCACTATTATGATGATGACAGTGATTATAACACAAGATAGACTGAACGATTAGGAAAGCACGTGTGTGTAACAATATTTAGATTTTTTTCCTTGTGGCTCAGAATGAAAGGAAAGAGAGCAATAACGACAGTGGGTTTCACTTTGTAATTAAGTATAATTTGCATGTAGTGTGAAAGGAAAACAAAAACTAATTGTGTGCACACTTTTAACCTAATAAGTTTAGTCAACTTCTAATTGTTTGATTATTTAATCAAATTGGATAATGAGGGGATAAAGGGGAACGATAAAAACAAGTTATTCTGGAAGACTGAAGAGGTGCATAGAATCATATAATTCCAGGATAGTGAAGTAGAAAATGAATTTTAGGGTGAGTCCCTTCCCTGGCCCCGCCACACACATACTTATTTTGCAGACGAGGATTGTAATACTTTGGGTGGAGACTCATTTGTCCACGTGTGATATGGTTGGCTGGTGGAAGAAATTCATATAGAATTGAATTCTATATGAGGAATATAGAGGAAGCTTTAGGGATGGGACTTGTAAAACTGTTTCTCCTTCCCCAACTGTCATGTATTCCACCTAAAATGTCAGGAGTTATTGTAATAACAAGCAACTTGAGAATGAAGAAGAGAGTCGATTCAATTCCCCTATAGTGAAAACAGAGAGTCACCATTGCAGTGAGCGTAAAGAAAATGATTCTCCTTGAATCAATAGATAAAGGTTACCTGGGAGTGGCAATGAGGGAGGGAAGGAGCCAGGAGCCAGTTCATTTGGGGCTGAGGGAGTCCCAGGGATCTCTTGGAAGAGATACTGAGCATATGTGGTTAATCGACGATTATCTGAAATTTTTCACTCACACTTTTTTTTTTTTTTTTTTTTTTTGGAGATGGAGTCTTGCTGTATCACCCAGATTGGAGTGCAGTGGTACCATCTCAGTTCACTGCAACCTCTGTCTGCCTCCCGGCTTCAAGCGGTCCTCCTGCCTCAGCCTCCCGAGTAGCTGGGATTACAGGCACCTGCCACCACGCCTGGCTCATTTTTTATGTTTTTGGTAGAGATGGGGTTTCACCATGTTGGCCAGGCTGGTCTCAAACTCCTGACCTGAAGTGATCCACTCTCTGTGGCCTCTGAAAGTGCTGAGATTACAGGCATCAGCCGCTGCATCTGGCCATTCACGCTTTTGAATGCAAGAACAATTAAGCATAAAAAAGGTAGTTTTTATTTTATCTTAGGGAGGCTCATAAACCTTTGGTAGTTGTGTTTAAGGCATTGTTCATAGAAAAATTAGAAAACTTTGTTACTGGAAGTTTTGTAAGCTACTTTGTGATTTGTAAGTTTTGCACTGTGCATTTGTCGTTTCAGGTTTCATAAGCTAGATACTTGTCAATACATTAGGAAATGACTTTATAAGAATTTCAGATATGAGAAAAGCTCTTCAGAAATTATTACTTACTTGAGTTTTGCACTTTGGGATTAGATAGCCTTAACCTTGGTTAATATTATGTCACCTGTCTCTACAACTTGGTTAAAGTTTGAGTATACACAATTTTTTGATGTAAAGGGATTCACAGTCGTGTCAGAAGAGGCTTTCTCCATTCAGCTAAGGTTATTAACCATATTTCAAGTCTGCTAATTTGGAGGGAAAAACATTTGTTCATAATTGTAGTCTAATATTTTCCAGTTAGCACCAGGAACGAAACGTAGGCTAGTCTGAATTTGCAAACAAGTTGTCGTCCGAATGTTCACTTTCAAATCTGCTCTTTGGAACTCTGAAATCATTTTCTCACAGACGGCAAAAACTACCATGGTAGCTAGATTGCCAAGTCTGTTCACAAAGTCTATTTTAAACCATCACATATGTAAAGTTTAATTGTTCTAGTTCTTTGTAACTTGAGCGGCAGGTGCCACAAGAACTTGATGGCAAAGCAAGCATAGTTCCTCGAATGTAAAGGAACACATCTCATTGTCCAGGCCGGGGATGTGTCCAGAGAAAGTGACAGAGGGCTGGAGTGGGCTTGCCAATGAAAACCCCCCTTTGTCAGTCTCCTTTTTATTTCAAGCCCCTGTTATTGGCTCTCTTGCTTCCCTTTTCCCACTGTAGCAGATATTTCTGACAAGGTTCTATCTCCTCTTGGATCCAAAACAGGAGGATATATATGAAAACCCAGACAACAGCAGTCCCCATTTATCCATGGTTTCACTTTCTCCGGTTTCAGTTACCTGTGGTCAACCGTGGTCTGAAAATAGTGAGTACAGTCAAGATATTCTGAGAGAGAGTCCACATTCCTATAACTTTTATTACAGCATCTTGTTATAATTGTTTTATTATTAGTTACTATTGTTAATCTCTTGCTGTGCCTAATTATAAACTAAACTTTATCATATGATGTATGTATAGGAGGAAACATAGTATACACAGGGTTTGGTACTATCCGTAGTTTCAGGCACCCACTGTGGGTCACGGAATATGTTCCCCTTTGGAAAATGGGGGACTAATGTATACTGTTTTGGGTATTTTCTAATCATTTTGGAAAACAGAGAGAAACAAGTATGTGGCTATGAAATCAATCTTTCTAGTCCATATCTCTATCTTGCTTTTTGAAAAACAAAACCACATTCAGTAATAATGGTGATGAATAAAGTTTTATCTACATTTCTGAGGGCCACCTGACACAGAGAGCCCTAAACATATCATCGCTAGAGCTCAAGGATGTGCAGGTGCTGGAGGACGGGAGCAGCAGGGCTGGACACTCCTTGAGTAGTGGTGTCGGGGATGGGGCATGAGAGAGGGGCAGGCTTGGGAATTTAACCTCTCCTCTGCCACATACAGCCCATTCCATATAATGATCATTCTTCCTGTGTATATTTAAGACTTGAATTAGTTTGAGGGTTAGAGGATAGTCCTAGGCACCAGAAGATGGAGTTGAAAGATAAAGAAAAGTGGCTGTAGTTTTTTTCTGGTCACTTCCAGGATGCCTGGGCCATAAACAAATTGGGAAAGATGGACAGGTCACAGTCTCTCTCCTATATGGGCACAGAAGCATGAATAACTCATTTCAACATATGAAGTAAGTATAGGTAAGGTGCTTTTTATAAGAATACAGAGTAGAGGCCCTTAATCTTCCAGGGAAAGGGCATTAAAACATGCTTCCTGGCTTTGTGAGTCCAAGGCAGGTGGATCACAAGGTCAGGATATCGAGACCATCCTGGCTAACACAGTGAAACCCCATCTCTACTAAAAATATAAAAAATTAGCCGGGCATGGTGGCAGGCACCTGTAGTCCCAGCTACTTGGGAGGTGGAGGCAGGAGAATGGCGTGAACCCGGGAGACATAGCTTGCAGTCAGCCGAGATCACGCCACTGCACTCCAGCCTGGGCGACAGAGCAAGACTCCATCTCAAAAACAAACAAACAAACAAATAAACAAACAAACTTCCTGGAGAAGATACCAGATACCACTTGCAGGGGATTTTATCATCTTGTGTATATGTGGAGGGAGAGAAAAAGGGTATTTGTGCCAGGAGGTGGGATACAGCCTGGCTTCCGTGTGAGTAATATGTGTGTGGTTGAAGGTTGGGCATGAGAAGTTCCATGTTGCTGGAGTTTCAGATATATTATGGGGCAAGCGGTAAAAAACTAAACTAGTGATATAGGCGGTGCCAGCTCATTCAGGGCCATGAGCCACACACAAGGTAAATATTATTCTTTAGAGGATAGGGTCCTACTGAAATTTAAACATGTGACATTGAGAGATTTGCATTTTGGATGGATGATTTGGGAAATGTGTTGGAAGTAGATTTAGGGATGACAAACTGGAAAGGATACCAGTTAGAAGGTTGTTGCTAGAGTCCATAAGAAAGATGATGAACACTTTTTGACGACCATCTTTAGAATATTAATAGGAATGGAGGGCATGGTTTTAAATGTAAAGTGTTTAGGTCCTTCTGGTTAGAAAATCACAGAAGAAGCAGATTCACCTATCTTAAAGCCCTCTCAAAACACATTATAGTGAAGAAGGAAGAAAGAAAGAAAATGAATACATGAGAAAAAAATGGAAGCGAAGGTAACAGGAAGACACAGATGTAATGCAAACCATATCAATAGCATTATTTCTCTGGAAAGTAGGTGGACTGTTGGCAGCTATGCTAAAGGCTGCAGAGAGCTGTATTCTCAACCTTCTTGAGGAGGGCAGTGGGGATGGGAAGTCAGTAAGAGGGAAGCATATTCTTTGAGCTGGAAAACGGAAAGTGCTCAGAAATTGGAGGCAGCAGCCGCTCTGGAAGGTGGTGACAGGCATAGGGAGATGAAAAGAGAAGTGACTTTATATGTAGCACTAAGATTCGTAGATCTCCAACCCCAGGCTGCACAGTCGATTTCCTGTCCGCCAATTCAACAGGAGACAGGAAGTTTACTCTCTGGAGACACTAATCAGATAGGTTGTGGACCCAAGGATGTTGGGCAGAGCTGAGGGCAGGATGAGGTGCAATGGGGGAAATATCAGTGCAATACCATTAAGAAGGTTGTTGCACGAGTCCCTAGGAAAGATGATGAAGACCTTTTGAAGACCATCGTTATATGTTAATAGGAATGGAGGGTATGGCTTTAGATGTAAAAAGTGTTTAGGTCCTTCTGGTTAGAAATCACAGAATAAGCAGATTCACCTATCTTAGAGCCCTCTCAAAACACATTATAGCGAAAATGGAAGAAAGAAAGAAAAAAACGGAATACATAAAGTAAAAAATGGAAGCAAAGGTAACAGGAAGACACAGAAGTAACACAAACCTTTCACTTGCTCTTTCACAGAGCATTTGAGAAACTTCTCAAACAGAGCTGGGTCTCAACCAGATCACCAGCCACCAGGAAACACGTTTTAGAGTGTTCCCTTCCAGCCCCACTTCAACACAAGCATTAGTCAATTTTCAGTGACTTATCTTTACATAGAAACATATAGCCAGAGCTCACCAGGTATATAAGGAAAGTCCCTAACACGAAAGGATTTGTTGCTGATGGTGTTGGGTGAGGTAAGGAGGGTAAACGAAAGCTGAACAAATTCTAGTATAAGTGATCAATCCAAGTGAATTGCTAGATTAGGCAACAGGAAGGAGAATCTAGAAAAGGGGCAAGTATCTTGTGGGGAGACATGAGGAGGAAAAAGAAAGTGAGTTGCACTTTAGATATTATGGGTTTGGAGGTGAATGTAGCCACAGGATGACTGGATCCAGCTGCATATGGACTCTCTCTTTTTCCTCCGACTTCAGTCTCTGAGACCAGCTTTTCCATACAATGGGGGATATGGCTGGAGACATATTGGGAATTAAGTCCTTTAGTCTGTGATCAGAAACTAAAATAGTCTTTCTTGATGAGTCTGAAGAATTTTAGTGACATTAAGATGATCCTGGCCAGATCAAATGACGCCTCTGTGGCCAGAGGCTGGATCTATTACCTGAAGTGCTTAGAGGACAAAAATAATACATGCCACAGCTATTCCTTCTTCTTACAAAATATATTTCCTTCTTTTAAGGCCCACTTTTAAACATACCCTAACGATAGATTTTTATAACTCCCTTATCTCGATATCATTTAGCGTTCTTCCATAACACCTCAGGTTTATCATTTTTTTTTTTGTTCTTTGTCATTTACTGCATGTGGTTGAAGTTTTTCTTGTGTATTTGCTCTATCTCTTTTCCAAGACTATAAGCTCCTTATGTGAAAGTATGAAGTGCTAAGTATAAAGAAAAACACCAGGCCAGGCGTGGTGGCTCACGTCTGTAATCTCAGCACTTTGGAAAGCCGAGGCAGGTGGATCGCTTGAGGTCAGGAGTTTGAAACCAGCCAGGCCAACATGGCCAAATCCTGTCTCTACTAAAAATACAAAAATTAGCCGGGCGTGGTGGTGGCCACCTGTAATGACAGGTACTTGGGTGGTTGAGGCAGGAAAATCGCTTGAACCAGGGAGGCGGAGGTTGCAGTGAGCCTAGATGGCACCACTGCACTCCAGCCTGGGCCATGGAGCAAGACTCGATCTTAAAAAATAAATAAATAAATAAATATAAAGAGAAACACCAGAAGGTTTGTTTCTAAATGGAAATTGTTCATATTAGAATAGTCAGCTTGGAAGGTGGTAGCCTTTAGTGATTCTATTGCTCACACCTTGCATAGAAGCCGCTCTTGAAAATTGTTTTCAAGTATAATACTCATTCTTTTGAGATCTTGTTTTGAAATATTTGTCCTTTTGAATATATTTATATTTTTAAACACTCAAATCTCTGATGAAATTCATGAAGTAGACTTTCTGAAGTAGACTTTTGATACAGATGCTTGGTTTTGATTTGGATTTTTGAAATAGCCTAATTTAGGGACAGTTTTCATGAATAAGGTAGAGGACTCTCATGTAATAAGGTTTTCTTCCATGGTTTGTAAATTGGCTTCAAAATTCTTTCTAAATATTTTCAAATAACGAGGCTATTTATTCAGCAAACATGTGTATAGTATCTGTTCTATACAAGCACAGTCCTAAGTGCTTTATATGAATTGATTCATTTATCCCTACAATAGACCAAGGGGAAAAGGATTATTATCCTCATGTTATAGATGAAGACACTGAAGCACAAAGAATTTAAGTAACTAATGTCACAAACTAGGAAACAGTTGGGATTCAGTCCGAAGTTCATGGACTTCACACTGGTGATATGCTACACTGTCATTGCAATGTTAGTTTTCCTATATAATTACTTAGAAAAGGATTGCAAATATGCCTTCAGCCAAATCTGCCATTTCCCCAGTTTTGATATATCTTGTGAACTACATTTTTTGGATGTTTGGAAAAAAAAAGTGACAGAATATATTGTGACCCATAAAAATCACAGAAAATAGAAATCATAGTGTCCACAAGAACACATAGTGTCCACTGGAACACATCCATGTACATTGGTTTGTTTATGTATTGTTTATGTGACGTCTGCACTACAACAGCAGAATTGAATACGTGGGACAGAGACTGGAGAGCCCACAGACTTAAAATATTCACTATCTGATCCTTTATAGAAAAAGTCTGCCAAGTCCTGATTAAGAAAAATAATAATTCCCTGGATGTCTATGTTCTGACACACTTCTCAAAAGAAATTCCAAAGGAAACCAATTTCAATGGTTTCTATCACAACAATTTGATTTTTTTAAATGAAATTAATTGTCATGAATATAATAACATATCCATTAATGCAGTAACATAGAGACGGTGTTTCACCATGTTGGCCAGGCTGGTCTCGAACTGCTGACCTCAGGTGATCTGCCCGCCTTGGCCTCCCAAAGTGCTGGGATTACAGGCATGAGCCACGGTGCCCAGCCATATGTCTCTATTTAAAATAACATTTATGTCTTGTTTACATTCATTTATTTTTAAAATGTAGCTTTTGGGGGTAGCTTCTGAGTTAAGACAACTGTTTACAAGACACTGTTCAATGAAAGCATCAGTCATTGTGATCCTTGTTGGCAGCCACATGGTGCACGTGGATGCGCTTGTTCCGAACACACGCACGGCCCTCTCGGCCTCACCGTCACATGCACATGCATAGAAAGTCAGCAAAAGCAACAGGAAGTAAAGGGAGAGCCTTTGATCCATTCAGCTTCATAAGTGCATTTGCTTTTATTTTTTAAATTTAAATGTATTATTTTATTTTGTATTTTTTTACGAGATGGGGTCTTTCTTTCTCTTGAGACAGGGTCTTGCTCTGTCACTCAGCTGGACTGCAGTGGGGTGATCACAGCTTACTGTAGCCTTGACCTCCTGGGCTCAAGCAGTCCTCCCACCTCGGCCTCGCAAGTAGCTGGGACTACAGGCATGCACCACCATGCCTGACTCATTTTTTATTTTTTGTAGAGACAGGGCCTCCCTATGTTGCCCAGGCTGGCCTCAAATTCCTAGCTCAAGTGATCTTCCCACCTCAGCTTCCTTAGTAACTGGGACTACAGAGGGGGCTACTTAGACTCCTGAATTTACTTTTAAGGTATAAAAATAATAGATTAACTCAGTCATTATTATGTTAATATGCATAATACACTGTTTTTTTGGAGAGGAAGAATCGTTAAGCAACTGTGAGAACAGTGATTAAGGAAAATATAAATTAAACTAGTGATCAAAACATTTACAATACTGAATGCACACCTACCAGGAACACGAGTATTTTAAAATACCCAAGTAATAACCTCATTCTGTGGAGAGGATAAACAAAATCTGAAATTACAATGTGGAAATACACTAAAAAAAATCCATCTTAGTAAAACACTAACAAGCAAAGCCCTACCATAAATCAATTTTTTATGAATCTTAGCCCTTTTTATTTTAAAATACCATATATATATAGTCCCAGATGATGTTACTCTGCTTCCTTAGTTTTTCTTAGTAACATAATTAACCTGAAAGGTGGCTGAAAGGTGGCTATACGTGGCTTTCCTCTTGTCTGCAAATGAGGCAGGTTAGAGAAGTTAAACCCAGGTGAGGCCTGCCCTGCCCATTTCTTGCAAGACGAACACCCAGGGAGAGGAAATGGAGGTGGACATTTTGATTAAAAGTTTTAGATCATCTAAAGATTTTTTTTTCCCTCAACTACATATGTGGCATTTCCTCTGAGTCAGAAGGAGAAAATGTGTTTGAATTCCTATAATATCTGTAAAAGACTTCACTGTTTGTGTTCTTAAAACAACAACAGGCCAGGCGTTCTGGTTGGTTGCCCCATTGAGTAATGATGACTAGAGTGGGAATGAGTGTGGTTTTGAAGAGAATATAGAATATGATTAGTTCTGTGGCAGTGAATGTTATAATCAAAGAAATTTGTAACCTATAATATCTGTAAAAGACTTCACTGTTTGTGTTCTTAAAACAACAACAGGCCAGGCGCGGGTGGCTCATGTCTGTAATCCCAGCACTTTGGGAGGCAGAGACGGGCGGCTCACCTGAGGTCAGGAATTCAAGACCAGCCTGGCCAACATGGTGAAACCCTGTCTCTAATTAAAATATAAAAGTTAGCCAGGCCTGTTGGCAGGTGCCTGTAAACCCAGCTATTTGGGAGGCTGAGGCAGGAGAATTGCTTGAACCCGGGAGGCAGAGGTTGCAGTGAGCTGAGATTGTGCCACTGCACTCCAGCCTGGGGGACAAGAGTGAGACTTCGTCTGGAAAAAAAAAAAAAAAGATTTTTCTCAAATACTTTGTAACGTGCCACACTATGAGTCAATGGCATAGTTCTTGATTTATTCAGTGATGGTTGAAAGTGAAAGAGGCTGATGGGTTCCTTCTGTGGGTCCACTGACTTTCTTCACATTTCCACTCCTTTGGACTCTGCCATCCAGACATACTGAACTTTTTTTTTTTCTTTTCTGTAATCAGCTGTGGTTTTGCCCTTCAGACCTTCAAACCTAGTGTTTACCCTGCCCCATGTCTTTGCTTGGCTCATTCCTATTGATCAATATTTGTTCATTTCACATAGTTGCTAAGATCTTACATATGCCAACCTTTTTCCAGGCTTTGCTAAAATGACTTTTTCTAGGAAGCCTTTCATGGCCTTCTAACTAGCCAAAACTCCTGCAGAAATTTGTACTTCTGTCTTGGCCTGTAATATACTTTATTGTCTGTGACTTCTAGTTTTATTGTCTTACAGGCTTGACTTTGAGCTTGGTGAAAGCAGGGAATGAGACTATCCTCCTCGCCTTAGTTATTTCCAGGGCCTAACAGTGTGTGTGTGGCAACGACTAGGTGCTGAGAGGATTTATGTAGAGTGAATGACAAAATAATTATAAAATATTTTAGTATGGGCATGGAAATAAATAGAATGTCTTTAGAAGTTAAAAAAATAACTGAACTTGTTTGGTTAAAATGCATTCACGCATCAAGCTCATTAGCACATTTCACTTTTCGGAATGCCACTAATACTTAGCTCATTGGTAAAGTTCAGCTATGTGCAAAAATGAAAATTTTAAATCGGGTCAGGTGTGGTGGCTCACATCTGTAATCCCAGCACTTTGGGAGGCCGAAGTGGGTGGATTGCTTGAGCACAGGAGTTCAAGACCAGCCTGAGCAACATGGTAAAACCCCATCTCTACAAAAAATAAAAAAAAAAATTAGCTGGGCATGGTGGTACATGCCTGTAATCCCAGCTGTTGGGGAAGCTGAGATGGGAGGATTGCTTGAGCCTGGGATACTGATATTGAGGCTGCAGCGGGCCGAGAATACCACTGCACTCCAGCCTGGATGACAGAGTGAGACACTGGCTCAAAAAAAAAAAAAAAAGAAAAAGGAAGAAAAAAGTTTAAATCAATGAATGTTCTCATTTCTAATGAAATAATGAAACATTATTGGGAGAGTTATAGTCATAATCATCTTACTGCACTATCAATTAAAAAATACATCATTTTTTAGAGCACAATATATACCATAAAGAATTAATTATTCAAATAGTCTAAATATTACGATCAAATTTTTAATAGACTTTGTTACTTAAACTAAAACTTATTATCTGTATTAGTCAGCTCAGTTGGGATTCACACCTGTAATCCCAACACCTAGGGGGGCTAAGGCAGGTGGCTCACTTGAGGCCAGGAGTTTGAGACCAGCCTAGCCAATATAACGAAACCCCATTTCTACTAAAAATATAAACAAATTATCCAGGCATGGTGATGTGCGCCTGTAATCTCACACCAGCTCAGGCTGCCATGACAAAATAACAAGCACTACGTGACTAAAACAACAGAAATTTATTTCTCACAGTTCTGGAAACTGGAAGTTTCAGATCAAGGTCTGGCAGGGTTCTGCTTCTCGTGAGGGTTCTCCTCCTGGCTTGCAGGTGGCCCCTCTCTGGTGGCTCTTCTTATAAGGACAAGAATCCTATCAGATCAGGACCCCACCTTCTCAGCTCATTTAATATGAATTACTTCCTTACAGCAAAAACAATTACATCTGGGGTTAGGGCTTCAATATATGAATTTTGCAAGGACCCAGTTCATTCCATTGCACAATCACTGTAGAACAACATTTGAAGTAATTCAACTTGAAGTCCTGGAAAGTATATTTTTTGGCATCTCTAACACAAAGTTGTACTGATTCATTTTCAAAAATCTTATTTTTGGCTCAGCATGGTGGCTCACACCTGTAATCCCAGCACTTTGGGAGGCTAAGGTGGGCAGATCATGAGGTCAGGAGATCGAGACCATCTTGGCTAACATGGTGAAACCCCGTCTCTACTAAAAAAAAAATTCAAAAAAATTAGCCAGGCATAGTGGCGGGCACCTGTAGTCCCAGCTACTCAGGAGGCAGAGGCAGGAGAATGGCATGAACTCAGGAGGCGGAGGTTGCAGTGAGCCGGGATCGCGCCACTGCACTGCAGCCTGAGTGACAGAGCAAGACTCCATCTCAAAAAAAAAAAAAAAAAAAAAAAAATCTTATTTTTTATTTTTAGTTAAGTACTTTTTTGATGATGCAGGGGAGTTTAATTCGAATAATAACCACTGACTTGGCATTATCTTTACAGGAATTGATAGCATTTGGCCAACTTCTATATTTCCTCTTGAACTTTGAATGTAACCTTATTTAGACTTTTAGACCTGGTCATGAACTCAGAAGTCATCCAGTCCAATTCCTTTATTTAAAGATGAGGAAATTTAGTCTTAAATAGCATAAGTTGTCCACATTCCTCAGAAAGATATTCAAAGCCGTTTACAGTTTGCCTCAATTGATACTTTAACAAAATTGTCCTTTATCCTATTCCATGTATTTTTTACCATACGAAATTCCTTGCCAATTATCTTTTCAGGTCCCACCTGAAGCCTATGTAGACATTTCTGCTTCCACACCCACAAAGAGAATTGGTAATTCCTTTCTTTCTGTCTCCTTAGAATTTTTCCAAATGATTGCATAATACTTCTTAAATTGTATCATAATAATCTGTGCTAATTTACATTCTACATTAAATTACGAGCTTCTTGAAGTCAGCAATTGGCCTCCACTGTTGCTAGCCCATGGTCTAGGGCTTTAATAAATGATTTCCAAATTTCATTTCTGAAAGCCATGTGGCTAATAAATTACACATCAATAACAGGAATTGGGGTCTCCGTACTTCCTGATCAATGCTGTTTCTATTCCTGGACCACACTTCACTCTTTTTTTTATTATTTTTTTATTTTTTATTATTTATTTATTTATTATTATTTTTTTACTTCACCCTTAAGATGTTAGTGTTAGGGTTGCAGAAAGTCTTGTAGGGTAGAGGATTTACAAGTACGAGTTCAGAGAAGCCTTAGGAAAGTCCTGCCCTGCTGGCCAGGTGATTCACGCCTGTAATCCCAACACTTAGGGGGGCTGAGGCAGGCGGATCACTTGAGGCCAGGAGTTTGAGACCAGCCTAGCCCATATAACAAAACCCCATTTCTACTAAAAATACAAAAAAATTAGTGGGGCATGGTGATGTGTGCCTGTAATCTCAGCTACTCGTGAGGCCAAGGCCCAGGAATCGCTTGAACCTGGGAGGTAGAGGCTGCAGTGAGCCAAGATTGTACCACTGCACTCCAGCCTGGGCAACAGAGTGAGAGTCTGTCAAACTGAAAGAAAAGTCCTGCCCTGGCTCCAGAGATTACATCCAAATTCACTGTTTGACACCTATGTGTTTCAGATGCACCATGTCAGAGAAAACTGTTTTATATGTCTTTGGACAAATTTACCCCAGTTTGACTTCTGCTGCTAAGACTCCAGCTTGCAGAGCTCTGCCAGGCCTGAGCCCCAGCACGTTGTGAGATGCTTTATATAGAAGAGCACTGATGACCCAAACAGATTAAAGGTCAGTGAAGTTAAGCCTGGGGTAATTGTTCTCTGAACTCTGGCACATTCTTACTGGGTTTCTGCTGTTTTACTGCATGTGACCCTTTGTTTATGGTTTAGCAAGGGTTGTGAAATTCTGAACACAGTTTCAAGAAATTACAAGAAGAGTGGTGAATTCTCTTTTCATGAGTCAAATCCCAATTCTTTTCATCTTCAGGTTTTCTTCCTTGAGAATTACAGTAGTTGAGATATGTTTGCAATAGATATGTTGAACTCTTATGAAAATCCAGATGGATGAAGACACCTATTTTTTTCAATGCTGTGTGAATATCCAGAATTACTAACATATTAGAAATTTTGCAGTTTTCTGAACATGTAAAATTTCTTGGAAGAAATTAGAAGAGAGCCTCTTGATCACAAAAAATATAAATTCTGCCTATGGTACAGATTTTCAAAAATGCCTGTATATATGTATATACATTAGGTATGGTCTTTATTCACTTAATTTAAATTTTAAATTGATAGATAAAACTGTATAAAATTAGGGTATTATCTTCAAAAGAGATGAAAATTTTCTGAAAACCTGCAGACAAAAAGTTGAAAGGCTAATCCTGCTATTCTGTTTTGCTTTATAACAAATATTTTCCTATTCACCGTAAGTTTTTCTGGAAAAAAAATAGCTGTAAGTCAGAGATTCTTACTTAATTAACTAAAACCAATTATATCAGAGCAAGCTTCTTTTCCATCCTACAAACACGCATAAAAATACACATACAAAATGTTTTCACTTATGAATAAGCAACCTGAAGAACCACGAAAGCACTAAATTGGATGTTGATTTCAAAATACTCGTTTTGTCACCCCCAGGTTAGTGAGACTGCCAAGGGTATATGCTCTCTGGGTAGAAGAGTGGAGGATGGCCTTTGACTTGCATTTAGTCCAAAAAAAGTGCTTGATTACTCTGGCTAAGTATTTTCAGTTTTGTGCTGCTTAACTGCATAGGCGATTATTAATTTGCCACCTAGTATTTTTCTAGTCTACAGTAGGGGAAGGAAATGTAAGAAAAGTTTTTTTTTCTTTTAAAAAATATACATTAAAATATTTTCCCATTTTATCTATTAAAGTTTGTCTTTCTTAAATAACCCCATCACGAAAGTTTTCTAGTACCCTCAAAAATATAACATTTCTGCTAAGGAAGGAGCCAAAAAAAAATGCTAACAAAGATAAAGGAAATGGAAAAGAAGAGATGTGTAGAAAAAATTGTCCTGTTACTTGAACCCAAGCACTAGAGATGGCCATTTTCTTTACTTTCTCTTTAGGTATATACTCAGTGACAAAGTTATTAAAAATCAGACTATGTTACATAGCATGTTTGTGAATGCTGGAAGGTATCCCTAGGCAACACTATTTGAAAAGTAATGCCTATTTTATTCTGCAAAAGCAAGACAGTTACAAACTTTTTTTCTTTGAGGTGGAGTCTTGCTCTGTCGCCCACGCTGGAGTGCAGTGGCGCGATCTAGGCTCACTGCAAGCTCCGCGTCCCGGGTTCACGCCATTCTCCTGCCTCAGCCTCCCAGGTAGCTGAGACTACAGGTGCCCGCCACCACGCCCGGCTAATTTTTTCGTATTTTTAGTAGAGATGGGGTTTCACCGTGTTAGCCAGGATGGTCTCGATCTCCTGACCTCGTGATCCAGTGCCTCGGCCTCCCAAATTGCTGGGATTACAGGCGTGAGCCACCGCACCCATCCTACAAACTTTTTTTTCTAAGCAGTGTTCTCTCTCCTCTCTCACAAAACCTGCCTCATAAGCTGATTCGGAATTCCTTATTTGTATCCTTAACCCATCAATTTGGCTTTGTTGGGTAATGTTACGCTCAGGTAATGCTATACAAATCTGGGCAAATGGGTCTTACTTCAAAAGACTTGGGACTCAAATTATAAGTGAAAAGAGTCCAGTTCTGCTAATAATATGCACCTGCGGCTCTGCTTGAGGTTAGTGGGAATCTTGACTATTGGAAGAGGTGGGGTTTACTTTAAGCTGGTTTAGCAAAGTACAGCTCAATCTAAACGATGCATTGGAAAGGAAACTCCACAAATCCAGTGATGTGACATTTGTCTACAACAGCAATCATAAGGGTAGTTTCATGACATCCAAGAATGCTTCCAGTTACTGAAGAAATCTTGCAAAATCATTTAAGGAATTTTCAAAGTATACTTAATTGCTTGTTATATATAATAATGACATAAAATGATATAAAATAAAATGAATAGGAACCATACTATGATTTCACCAGAGAAGTTGGGTGGTGTCATAAAGTTAAGCGATGAGATGTGATTGTAACTTTGAACAGGTTGGAAGTTATTTAAGTTCTCATGCTATTCAGGCCATTATGGAATGAAAATCATAAATGTTCAGGATATTGCAGATGCATTTACACTTGACAGGGTTTGACAGAAATGAGACACTTGTTAATAAGATTTATAAAGAGCTACTCCATCGACATTTTAAAAGTGAGTATGTTGGATTCCGCATTATAGTATTTATAAAGCTTTCCACACAACTGGGTAGAATTCTTTCTTTGCCTATCCCCACAGGAGACAGACAAGCTGGGTTCAAGCAAGCTGAGTTTCCTTGAGACATTAATTTCATGTGTCTGAGTTCTAGTTTCCTCTTCTGTAAAATGAAGATAATACCTGCCTGGTTGTACTATTTTGAGAATTAAATAAGGTAATGTACATAAAACACTCAGTACAGAGCTCTACACAGAACGAACACTCAATAGACCAGCCTGCACATTAGAATCACATGGAGAAATTTAATATCTACCACTGCCAGGGCCTCACTGCAAACCAACTGAAATCAGAAATGTATTAGGGAGCATATATTGGTATTATAAAAGCCCCCCACGAGATTATCACTGTAGCCAGGGTTGCAAACCATTGATCTAAGCTACCCATTTCCTCTACTAGTAGTTCTTAACCATGGCTGCACATTGACATCACCTGGGAAACTTAAAATACTGATGCCTGGGTTTCTGTTTCTGATTTAATTGATACAGCGCTGGGCTTGGGCATTGGGATTGTTATAAATTCTCCAGTTAATCCTAATATGCTGGAGGTTGAGAACCACTGAGAATCAGCAAGGAAAGACTTACTCTGTGTTTTTTGGTTGCATAGTGTGATTTTTTTTTCTTTTATAAATAATGTAATTTTCTGATCATACAAGTAATCCATGTCTTAGAAAATATGAAATGTAGAAAACAATGAAAAAAATAAAAAATAAAATTCATAATCTTACTACCCACATACAAACATTGTCAACAGTTTGGTTTGTTTCCTTCTTTCAATGCTAATTGTTTTGCATGGCTGGGCTCATGTTTTATACACATTATTTTTTTTTTTTCTTTTTCACCTTAATATTAGAAAACAAGTATTTTCCTTTTCTTAAAGAGACAATATTGGCTGGCTGCAGCGGCTCATGCCTGCGATCTCAATACTTGGGGAGGTTGAGGCGGGCAGAATGTTTGAGCTCAGGAGTTCAAGTCCAGCTTGGGCAACATGGCGAAACCCTGTCTCTACAAAAACATACAAAAAGTAGCTGGGTGTGTTGGCATGTGCCTGTAGTACCAGCTGCTCAGGAGGTTGAGGTAGGAGGATCACCTGAGCCAGGGAGGTTGAGGCTGCAGTGAGCCTTAATTATACCACTGCACTCCAGCCTGGGCGACGGAGTGAGACCTTGTCTCAGAAAAACAATACAAAACAAAACGAGAGAGAGAAAGAAACAGGATTTTACCCTGTCGTGCAGGCTGGAGTGAAATGGTGCAAACATCTTAATAGCTCACTGTAGCCTCGAACTCCTGGGCTCAAGCAATCCTCCTGACTCAACCTCCTGAGCAGCTGGGACTACAGGGGCATGCTAACATGCTCTGCTAATTTTTTTTTTAATTTCTTTTTTATCTTTTGAGACAAGTTCCTCTATGTTACTCAGGCTGGTCTTGCATTGCTGTTCTCAAGCTATCCTCCCGCTTCAGCCTTTCAAGTAGCTGGGATTACAGGGGTGAGCCACCACGCCCTGCTCCAGTGTAGGTATTTTCAATGTTACTTAATGGACATTTTAGGTATCATTTTAAATAAGTAGAATGTGTTTAAAAAGTCCCCTTTACATATTATTATTTCCTATATTTCAAAGATAGGTCTGGACAAGATATTTATGAACTTTTAGACAAGTTTTCCCTACCAAAATCTAATGTCCCTTCTGTTAGGGTAAGAAAAAGTAGAATCAAGCTTCTTGCTCAAGGAAGAACTGAAAAGGGCTGACAGTAGGCGTTGCTGCCTAACTTCTTATTTAGTACATATATCAATAATCTTCTATAAGTAAGTCATGACATTAGGTGCTGGGCACTGGGCTAAATAGTGATCTGAATGCTAGGCCAAGCTGAGACAGATTTCCCATATAGTCAAGGCAGGAAGAAGAGGAAGGACAGAATTTCCCAAAACCAAAGAAATAAATTCAAAAGTGGAGTCAAAGAGCAGCCAGACACAATAGATGTCAACCACTAAACTTGAGAAAACAGCAGAACTTTCCAGCCTCAGGCTCTGAAGGAGGAAAGTGGGAGCAGTGGCTTAATTGGAACCATTTTGCAAGGCAGAGAGGAGTTGGCACATACTGGTCTACAGAGTGAGTCTGGGAAGCTGAAGACAACATCTGCAGGGAAGATGACCTCGATGACACTTCATAGGATGTGGAAGCTGAGCAATACAGCTTAGATGACTTACTGGAAGTTCACCAGTAAAACTGGAGAAAGAGCCCAGTGTTTTGGGGACATCATAGAGTCTGGCTTGGAAAAATTTCTTTGACATCTGCCAATGAGGAGGCAGCAAAGCGTGAAATTAGGACATTTGTCTGGTTGCAGTTAGATTCCCGGGCACTCTGTATGGTGGGGATCCAAGTGCCCAATAGTGGAATGATTTTGAGGCAGTGCCTGGAATTAGAGTGAAACTCTTATGTCGGTTAACCTTTCCTGCCTTCATTAGCTCACATCCCTTCCACTCCTGAACGTGGACATCTGTTTCTTGCAATTCATAATTAATGGTCTATTATCTAGTATTGTTGCCTAATTTTTCAATGGATGTTAATCTTGTTACTAAAACAAAACTATAAACAAGGGGGGTGTGGAAGAGGGAAGGGGAACTTGTATTATATTTACAATAAAACTCAAATTTACCATAATCTCTGTCTCTGGTGTCTGCATCAGCCACACTGGCCCCTTCCCGTTCTCTAAGCATTCTACTGTCTTTCCTGTCTCAGGGCCTTTGCCCCGGATATTTCCTGTTTAGAATTCTCTTCTGTTTTGTTTTGTTTTTTTCCAACCACATGGCTGGCTTCTTCTCATCACTTAAGTGTTCCAGCATCCTAGAGAGGCCTTTCCAGACCATCCTACCAATGTTACTCCCCACATCTCTGTTTTCTCGATTACATCTTTCTATTCCCTTATCACAATGCGTGCATTCATTTATTCAGTAATTGTGCATTACCCTTCTACTGTGTGCTAGATATGGGCATACAATATTGGTCTTTGCCATCACAGAGCCTACACTTTGTGGGGGATGTAAACATTAATGAGACAAACATCACACAAATATTTGTAAATTACTAATTCTGTTAATGTCTACACATGAGAGCCCATGGAACTAACCTGAAAGTATTTCTGTATTTTAATTTGGATTTCTTTGTAGTTTGTTATCTTTCTGCCACTTGTATATTTGCTCCCTGAGGGCAGAGTCATTGCTTTCTGTCTGTTTCTGCACTGTGTTCTCAGAGCATGCATATTGTGGAGACTTAGTATATGTCATTGAATACGTGAATGCTAAGCATTTGCAGTGTTTTTTTTTTTTTTTTAAACTTTATGGTGTCCATCAGAACCTAGCATTATGCCTGTTTAATTGATTAACAACATTGAAGCTCAGATAACAAATTGGTCTCAGGTCATAAAGCTGGTGACAGAAGTGGAAACTGAACCTAGCTCTTTTTCCAAAAGTTATTGTTCTGTCTATTACACAGAAGGCATGAGAGAGGTGAAGAGCAAATTATTGTAAATTGTTTTACAATAATATAGAACCTAAAGTCATTGGTTAAGGTATTTTTACATGTTCTCCCCCATAAAATTGAAAACAAACAAAAAAAACCAAAAGGAAAAAAATCACCAGCATGCAAAAATATCCTACAACTTTATTTTCCATTGTAGGTCCAGCAAAATCTAAGGTCGCCAAGCATGCTGAAACATTTCTCAGTATTTGGTGATTGCAAAACTGGATTTCATTTGGATCTTAGATTTGGTACCAAAATGATAACTGGAGCCATCAAGAACAAAAGCTGTATGCTTGTGTGCCATTTGCTTTACTTGGCTAAAGAAAACCAGGTATAAAGGTACACACTCCCTTAACTCTTTCTACGCTCTAAGAAGCTCTTTGAAATGTGAAATTCCTACAGTGGTTTCTTTGTTTGTTATAACTTGAGTGATAGCAGGGAGAGGTAGGGGTGTGTGTGTATGTGTGTGTGTGCGCACGTGCACACGCATGCATGTGACTTCAGCTTTAGAGAAAAGAGGCAGGAGAATGAAAGAGAGAAAGGAGTTCAAGGAAAGCCAGAGAACAACTAAGAAGAAGATTTCTTGTCCAGATTCTTCAGTAACACACTGAACTCTACATAGAATGTCAGCCCATCACCTTCCTCTTCAGATCTGCTTACCTAGTTTGCTCCCTCTTCGTAGTTAAAGCTATTTTTAAGTTTCCAGTTCTCTGGGTAATGAAACTTTTTTTTTTTTTTTTTAGATGGAATCTTGCTCTGTTGCACAGGTTGGAGTGCAGTGGCATGATCTTAGCTCACTACAATCTCCATCTCCCAGGTTCAAGCCAGTCTCCTGCCTCAGCCTCCTGAGTAGCTGAGATTACAGGCATGTGCCACCACGCCAGGCTAATTTTGTATTTTTAGCAGAGACAGATTTCTCCATGTTGCTCAGGCTGGTCTCGAACTCCCAACCTCAGGTGATCCTCCCGCCTTGGCCTTCCAAAGTGCTGGGATTACAGGTGTGAACCACCACAGCAGGCCTGCATAATGATACTTCTATCTCCCCTTTTGTTTACTGACCCTACATACTGGTACATGAACCATGCAAGCACATAAGCTTACATGGATTCCCTTTTTTGGACTAGGAATAGGTGATTTTTAAAATTATCACATGCTATAGACATCTTTGTCAGCCTTTCAAAGACCAATCAAAACCAAACTTTTCCCCTAACTTAGTAAAAACATGTATATTTTAAGGAAAGTCGTCTCATATTTCTAACTCATTTACCCACAAACCATCAAAACAATAAAAATAAATTGCCAACTAAGAAACTCATTTGAGTTTATTAAAATATAATTGCAATGTTTGTTTTCTGTCCTTAAAAGGACCCTCATCTTTTGCCAAGGATTAAATTCTTGGTATGTTTGAGATTGCATGGTAAATCTTTGCCCACAGACTTGCAACACTTTCTTCAACTAGGACACGTGTCTTGCTGTTCTAATACTTCATTTACATTTAATCCAATCTGTATTCCCGTAGTATAGTCCTTAGAAATCAAATTCCATTTTAAATTTCCATGTCACAACCTCTATCCTGTTACTGGACTTTGCACAGGTCGAGAGAATACCCTGTAGGGATTCCTTTGTGGACTTAAATTAGGAGAAAAATACTTTGAGTTAGACTGATTATATCTATCCTTTAGAACAAAAGCATGCTAGGCTATTGAATGCAGTGAGTCAGATGTCCACAGGGCTTACTATTATCTAAGGTGCACGTGGAGCTGATCCACGCCTTTGGTGGTAAGTGACTGCACAGCTCCCCTCCCTTGAAGGAGGAACTACTGGCCTCAATTCACTTGCAGATACTATGATAGTTCCAGGATCTTCTGGAAAGTCAGGTGACCCTGTGCCTTTATCCTACTCTAGATGTGACCAGAGTTCAAACAGAAGACACCTGTGAATGCGTTGGAGGGACAAATGCCAGATGCATGAGATGTTACCAATTTCTCTTTTGAGAATGTTGGAGTCCACCTTGCTTAATGAAGCACTTACAGCACTTTCATTGTGCACCACTGAGCGAGCCGTGGTGAGACGGTGCTCCTTCTGGGTTTCCAGACATGTGTCATTTCCACTGCATATTTAGCAGCACATAACTGCCTGCAGTGGGGAGAGCGGAATGTGAGGCATGTCTCACCGAGGAATAGGGTTGTTATTTAAAAAAATTAAAAAAAATCACTCAACTGCTAATGGAAATGTCAACCTCTCAGCCCTATTCTTAAAAATAAATATATACAAGGAGTTCCCCATATGAGAGGCACCTAAGTGACCCAAGATATTCATTTCCCTGAAGTCACTCACAGCAGGCCTGTCTGGAAAAATGCTTTCATCTTCCGCAAAGAGAGGGGAAAATGTACCAGCCAGAAGGTTTAAAGACTAGGACTTTAGAAGGTGAAGTGGGAAAAGTGATCCTTCAGTCAGGTGAATTTGGACCAAACAAGATTAATTTCTATGCTTTCAGCTCAACAAGTGCTGCATAAAGACCACAGAATTATAGACTCGAAGAGAAGCCTCTACGGCTCGTCCAGCTAGCTGTTTAACACTGGGTTCCTCCTAGTCCTGGAATTCCTATTGGGAGCCCAGGGCTGAAGGGGCAGTGAAAATAGTAGGGCTTCCTATTGTTCCTGCCAGGACAACTCTGCTTTCATCTGCTTTCTGGATTGTAATCTACTTTAATTCATTGAGAAAATGTCTGTTGAGCATCCACTACATGCCTGGCGCTGTCCTAAGTATGATGATATCGTAGTGATTAAGATGGACACTGTCCATGGCCCCATGAAACTTGCAGTCTATGGAAGGTTCTTTGTGGGCACATGGTAGGTGTGTGAATGGGGAGGTTCTATGGTTAACACTATGAGTGATATTCTAGCCTTTGAGGATAAATAAACCCAACAAGTTAAAGCCCCACAGCAAATTAACAGAAAAGCTGGGGAAAGAACCCAGAGGTCTTGACTTATACTTCAGTGTTCTTGTTCCCAAGTTCAGACAAGAAGTTCAAACAACAAAAAATTTAGAAATCTGCTTGGTTAGAGCAGATATAAATTTTGGGCCAGAAACTTCCCCTGACTAGGTCTTCTCTCCATTTCTCTCCTTTCGGATGCCCTCTCAGGACTCAGTGAAGGCTCTATGCTCATCCTCAGACACAGGAAAGATCTTTCCAGACCAAGGTCTCCCTTTCCCCTCTGGGTCGAAGGCCACCCAGCTGTACTTTGTTCCAGAAGCTTTCCCATCAGTCATTCTCCCTTCTGGCCGGGCTCTCCCACACACACTCATCTCTGTGGAATTGCTGGGCTCTTGCATTCCTCGATGTGTTGCATCACTTCCTTCCTTCCTGTCTTGCGTGCATGGGGCACACTTTTCAACCCTCATTCCTGTCTACTCACTCTCCCAACCACGAACTTTGCCTCCTTTCCCTTTCCTCTCCATGTCTCCCTGGAGGCTGTATTCTGTATTTTATAATGCTAAAAATGAGAATAGAGGCCAGATGACACTCAGTGTATTTGTGTCTCTCTCCTTAAAATCCTTTACTCTTTTCTAATTTTGGGTTTCTACTTTAGTCCTGGTCACTCGTTCTGGCTGCTGTCATACCTTGGGTCTTGCAAGGCTAGATCTGATCAGTTTTACAAGGAGAAGGGGACCTGCAGGGTTTATAACTCAGGACGTGAAATGCATCTCACTCAATCCATCCAGATCATGAACTGTGAGGAAACCTAACACAGAGAACTGCTGGCAGTGATTCTACACTGTCCTTAAAGATCCTGTAGTACAGACAGCCTCCTGTTCTTAGGTGCTGCCTACATGTTAGCTTGCATATCTCAATCGTCATTAGGGGGCCCAATAGAAGAAAAGCAAAAAGCAGCCTCCACCTACCAAAGATCTTCCCATGAATTGTTTTTTTGTACAACCTTGTTTCTTGATTACAACAACAACAACAAAACAAAATAAGACAAAGACGTGCTTATTTGTTTTTGTGAAGGGTGTGTTTTCTTTACATAGTCTAGCACACTGAATCTTTCCTGTATCCTTTGAAGTCATCATATCAGGCACTTTGTGATGTTTAGTGAAATACTCTGTAGTAGAAGTGAAGTACTCTGCAGTTTATTCTTCTCTTTTGTGTTTTGTTTCATCTGAAATTGGTCAATTTCAGGATGAATTCTGCAGGTTTGGCCAGTCTGCCAGCACCAGGGCAAGGAAGTGAGACAGGAGAGGTTTCAAGAGATTCTTCAAGTTACATTTGCAAATGAGGATGAGATAGTAAGATTAGGACAAGAGCCTTGAGAAGTTTTTCGGCTTAGACAGGAATTTCACAGAAATAAACATAGACTCTCTTCAAATCCCAATTATGACCAATAATTGTGTGGGGTTTGGAAGAGTGTCTATACCTCTGGAGCTGGGAATGGTTTCTGGAATGGTGAAGTTCTGTGTTTAAAGCAGTGACTACATCTTTGACCCTGGCTTCAAGAGGCCCTTGTGTTCCAAACAGCTGAATTTAATCCAGTAATATGTAAAGTGGAAAAGAAAGTTAGAGCTCTTCTGTTGAAAGACATAATTGGGAATTTTTAAACAGATTAGATTTGACCCCCACTTTAAATTGAGAGATTAATGTCTCAAACTTGATAAAGGGCCCTCAGACACCATGTCTTCTATCTCCTAGGACAGTATATTTTCCATTACCAAACTCAAATTCATACGTTCCTTTCTTCCCTTCCCCCGCTTTCCATCCTTCTTTCTGGAAACTTGGCATCCTCTTCATAGTAAAGATGTCTGTTGTTGATTAAAGCATTGCCTTGCACCTCAGGCAGCAGCACAACAAGAAGGTCAAGTTCTCATTTGCCCCAAGGAAATCATGAAGGACTTGAGGTTGCTACAGTGAGATATTACCCAAGGGAAAACGCAAGCCAAGGCAGTTAAATTTTTTTTTTTTTTTCTGCATAGAAAAAAAAGTTCTTACAGAATGCCAGTGTTCTGTCAGAGAGAATTTTCCATTTGAGCCACAGTTATTTGTACCAAGTTGACATGCATCATTCCTAATAGGTTAACCTTGGCAGCCTGGTGGAAACACAGATACTCTGAGTTGTTAGGTGAAAGAGCCCTCACGGAAGGGAAGGATGTTTATGGTTTCCAGTTTCTAGAATAAACAAGTTTCTTCCAAGTAAGGATAAGTGATATGGATGTTAGTGATGTTCTTCCTGCTCAGTCCATCTCTGATGATGGTTATTTATTTATTTTAAGAGGGAGTCTCACTCTGTTGCCCAGGCTGGAGGGCAGCGGTGTGATCTTGGCTCACTGCCACCTCTGCCTCCTGGTTTCAAGCAATTCCCCTGCCTCAGCCTCCCAAGTAGCTGAGATTACAGGTGCTCACCACCATGCCTGGCTAATTTTTATATTTAGTAGAGACAGGGTTTCACCATGTTGGTCAGGCTGGTCTCAAACTCCTGACCTCAAATGATCTGATTGCCTCAGCCTTTGATGATGTTTAGAGAATAAGAACATTCAGGGCAGTGCTATGATTACACGGTTCACCTTATTTCCATTCATATGTCCATCCTGCATCCTCAATAGTCTGTAAGTGCCTACAGGCCTAGAGAACATGTGCTGTGTCTTAACCTTCTGTCTCTCTCCTGTCATGCCATAGAGTGGAGTTGTTGAATTTGGTTGAACTTCTAATAGATTCATTCTTTCTATTTAACCTATTGATACCTCCTTTCATAGTCTCGCACGTCCAGTATTTTTGGCTGGGTCGAAAAAAAAAAAAAAAAAAGATTACAAATGTTCTCACCAAAGTCATGAGAGGCTGCTTTTTCTTTTGTTGTTAAATCACATGGGCAATTTTCGGTTCTCATCTCCTCGTCTGAATGATTGTTTTCTGCAACAGTACTCTCTCCTAATTTTTTGGGCACTCCAATTCAGTTTCCTTTGATGAGTTCTCTCATTCTTCTAGTAGCTCGGGCAGAAGCCCTGAAGTCATCCCTGGCTTCTTTCTTTCTCTTATGGACAATGTTCAATTCATCAGAACCCCTGTTTTTTTCTCCCTTAAAAATACATCTAGAATAAGAACAATTTTACCAGCACTGCTGCTAGCTACTTCCTTGGTCCAGACACCATCCTCTCTGGCCTGGAGGGTTACACTTGCCTCCTGCCTGGTCTCCTGGATCCCCCTTCTTGTGCCCATAAGCTGTTCTCAACACACAGCCAAAGTGGTCCACTTGAACCCCAAGTCGGCTCTCCGATCGTCTCCTCAGAGCCCTCCCCTGGCTTCTCATCTCACTCAGAATAGAAGTCAAAGTCAGATTTAAAACTTAAAAAAAAAAAAAATGGAAAAAGGAAAAAAAAGTCAAAGTCCCTACAAGGCCTCTGAGGTCTTTGGGACTGGTCACTCCTCCTCGCTCACTTGGCCCCAGAAGAATGACCTCCTGTGGCTTTTCCCAGAACATCTAGTTTGCCCTTCTCCAGGTATGTACATTGTTTGTTTTCTCACTTCCTTCCAAACTTTACTCAAAAACCTAATGTCACCTTCTTAGTAAAGCCTACCTTGATCACTTTGTCTAAAGGCCACAGCTCACCCATTCTTCCTAGAGCATATCATTAGTAAAGGCAATGAATATTTTACTTATATTTTGTTTGTTTTTTCTTCAATATACTATAAGCTCTAACAAAACAGGGATTTAAAAATTATTATTTTTCATAATTAATGTCCATTCTGTTCACGGATCCACTACTTGACATACAGTAGGTGTTTGATGAGCATTTGTTGAGTGACTGACTGACTGAATGTTGGTGCTCCCCGTTGTTTTCTCTCAGTGTTTTATTCTTGCCACTTGTGTGCTCATCTCATGTCTAAAACCACCTGTCTGTGGGTTACACTCCAGGGCAGACTTCTTCTTGGAGCTCCACACAGAGATATTTAAACTGCTTCCCAGGCATTATCCTTGATGTTCCTGTGAGTGAGGGCTGTTCCTCCCATAAAGGGCCTAAGCATATTAACGTGCATAACTGAAAAGTCCAGTTGTAGGGCTGGCTTCAGGTGTGGCTGAAATCAGGGCTCAGCTAATGTCACCAAAACATGCTCCTTTTTGTTCTGTCACTAAGCTCTGCTTTTCTTTTGGCTACGTTCTTAGGTTTTCTTTCTGGGGTGGCAAGATGTGTACAGCATCCCAAGCCTCATATTCTTGTTGCTCTAAATCCAATGCAAGGGAGACAGCCTCTCACGCAGTTTCTGGTGTTCAAACCCTCATTGGACTAGCTTAGGACGAGTGGATCCCTGCCTTCCCTACTCCCCACCACAACACAGCCACACAGTCACACTTACACATGATCCTGGCCAAGGGAACTGCAGTGTTTAATGGCTCTGATGTGGGTGACGTACTCTATTCTTGAGGGTAGCCCTGCCACACCATACGAACTAAGTATTATTGGGGGAAATCCTCAAATGGAAATTTGGGTTGTTTTCAGATCAAGGAAAAATGGATGACAAAGGTAAGCACCATCATTTTCCTAGTTGCTCAATCTTTCTGTGGTCTTGTTTTTTTCCTTGTCTTTACTCTGTTTATCCAATAAGTTACTTTATTATTTCCTTAATGTGTATCTTGAATCCATGTATGCCTCCTCTTCCTCTTTGCTATTACCTCAGTTTCGGCGTCATCATTTTGTCCCTGGATTTCCAGAACAGCCTTCAAAATTGTCTCCCTCCCTAAAGTCATTTTAATGTATTCTGTCCCCATTCAAAAGAGGTTTTCCAAAATGCACATATGTTTTTCTCTTTCTGTTTCTATCTCTCTGTCTCTGTCTCTCTCACTCTCTTCAAGTTCCTCTTTGTCACAGTGTAGGAGATGCTTTTGAATCTGATTCTAACCAGCCTCTGCTCCTCAGCTCTGAACATGTAAGTCCATGTACCTTTGACAATTGGAGCCAACTGCTAGTCCTCAAACATGCGGTGGACTTTTGCACCTTCACGCCTTGGCTCACAATGACTTTTTTTTTTTTTGCTTGGAGAGTTATTTCCTTGGCATTCTACATCAGGAAAGATCCATCTGTCCTTAAATATCCAATAAATATTTTTTGAGCACCCATTGTGTAACACCTTCAGCTAATTCCCTCAGAAAGAATGGTGCTGTCCCACTCCAGGCTTTCCTGAGTTAGAGTTGGCTGTGCATTAGTGTGTTTCCTGTTTAACTGTGAGCTCCTTGAGGAAGCCTATTGTAGCTCCACTATCCAGCACAATGCATGGCACACAGTAGGCACTCACTCAATAATTATTGAATGAGTAAATGTAATGTACAGACCAGAAGGTAATATTGGGCATTTGAAAGGATGTTCACTACTGAGGAAGTATATCATAAAAGGAGAAAATAAAAACTGTGGCTCTATAATGGTACCTTCTCAAGAGCCAGATCCTCTTGAAAATGCATTCACCAAACACATTAAAATAGATCGGGGCATCGTGCATGTGACTTGCAAATTGAGATTTTGCTTATTAGGAAATAGTCACAACTCGTTACCATTTACATTTCACTTGTTATTTCTTCAAAAAAAAGTGTGTGTGTGTGTGTGTGGCTTTGATAGTGGGAAATAGAAAACTAAATGTCTGGAAAAAATGGGGCCAAATAGATATAATTTAGTTTTATATAGAGGTTATTCTAAAAGTCTCAGAAAATCACGAGCCAAAGGTTCAAAATCATGCTTTCCTTACTAATTGCTTATAAGGATCAAACACTTATAGAGAGAATTGCAATCAATAAAAAGGGTCATTTCCATGAGTAGCCTGTTTACAACCATTTTGTACACAAACAGAAGAACCGTTTGAGGATTGGTGGTCAGTTCACTAGCACTCCAAGAAAATGTCCAAACAAATTCTTCTGTGTTGACATGGAAGAACATCAGTTCTTCAGAGACGCCAACACAGTGCAGAAATCCTTCCTTTAAGTGTTTGCATTCATCACTGATGAAACACTGGGGCTGACTTGCTGACATCTGAGTTACTACAGTTATCAGATACAGTTCATGAACTGTCTGTCATATTCTAACTAAGCGCTAAACTATTTCCTCATCTTTGTGAGTAAAAAGGAACACGTCATTGATAGTGGAAAGTTCAAGGCATCCCATTTAAAAAGAAATAGTTATATTAACTCATCTTAATATTTTCTTTAGCACAAGAGTTTTATTTATATAGAAAAGGGCCTATATGGTAAGTTATTTAGAATGCAGGGAAACAAATTTTCCAGAAATATATATCTTTATAATTTATAATAAATGTTCTTTGGAATATTCCTAATAAGGCAACAGATTTGAATGCCATCAAACACCATGCCCAGCATCCACCAGGGGTTGGCTCAGAGAACAGCAGCTAGGAAGTAGCTACAGGAAGCAGCAGACATGGCTGAGCCTAAACCCAAATTACAATTTATTTTTATTTTTTATTTTTGAGACAGGGTCTCATTCTGTTGCTCAGACTAGAGTGCCGTGGTGCGATCACAGCTCACTACAGCTGCAAACTCCTAAGCTCAAGCATTCCTCCGGCCTAGATGTCCCAAAGTGCAGGGATTACAAGGGTGAGCCTGGCCCCAAATGAGAATTTTTAAGATGGGTGCAAACGGGTGACTGAATTATGAATCTTTTTCTTAATCCTTGTCTTCCCAGATAATGACCACATTCATTAGTGTCATTTTGAATACAAAAGTGTGCTGTGGGCTTTTCCCTGATGATAAAAGCCTTCTTCATCTTTTGGTTTTCCCTGAGGTTGAATATTTCAGGCTTTCTGGATACTTGATTATAAATCATTGTTTATCTTATTCTCGGATGTACAGGACAAAGTTGTCCTTTCTGGGCTGATGATCTCCTCATCTTGTTAGTTAAACCCAGTTGTCCTGATCTGTTCCCTTTCTCAATTATATATGTGTCTGTTTAATACACCCTAGTACAGAAAATATCAGAATTTGATTCAGCCCAATAAACAGTTTGCCATAGGATTTACACAACATGCAAATAACATTATTTAAAATTTTATTCAATTCTCCAAAAATAATTGTATGTATTACTTTCAGAAAGTACATCTACTATATAAATTGAGATATAAAAATGATGGTCACTGGGAGAGGGCTCCCTGTGCCTTGAATATTCTGCTAAGAGATTTACTTCCATAACCTCACTGAATCTTCATGAACGTCTTTAAAAGAGGCTAGTTCAATTATTTAATTAAAATGTAAATATTTTAAAGCTGGCTTAGTACAAATAAAAAAGAGAAAAACTTATAAGCTTTGCATTCATATATAAAGCATGTTCTACTTTATAAAATATTCATAATGTTAAAATCCGGTATTATTTCATTTTATGGAAAATTTGGCATAATTTCCAGATTTGCAAAGATGTCATCTAAGTTTGATTGTTTTCCAAAAGCCTTTAATAAAGCAGAAAAAGTGTGAATGAAGGACAAATTATAGGGACTCATAATGTGATATTTTCTGCTTAGGAAATGTGTGGAAATGCTATAAGTGAATGAACTGTATCTGTATTTAATGTATAATTTTTGATTAAACTGAGCCTCTTGAAATAGGTCTCAGAATAAAAATGCAAGGTCAGTGGCTGTGTAGTTTGCTATGGATTCAGATCTGCTACAGTGGAGCTCTCCAAATCCAAGCTTCGACTTATCTTCTGACAAAGGAGGTCAAAGGTCATGCCAAATCCATCTCAAATTCTTTTTTTTTAATGTATTGATAAACAATAGAATTTTACTTAGGTCACATTTCTGAAGGCTAAGCAGTTCAAGATCAAGCATTGCACCTGGTGAGGGCCTTTTTGCTATTTTATAATATGGTGGAAGGCATTACATGGCAAGAGAGTGTATATGAGTGAGGGAAGGGGGCCAAAATTATCTTTTGTAAGAATGTCACCCCAGGCCGGGTACAGTGGCTCATGCCTGTAATCCCAGCACTGTGGGAGGCCGAGGCGGGTGGATCATGAGGTCAGGAGTTTGAGACCCGCGTGGCCAACATGGTGAAACCCCATCTCTGCTAAAAATACAAAAATTAGTCAGGAGTGGTAGTATGCGCCTGTAATCCTTGGTCCTAGGAGGCTGAGGCAGGAGAATCACTTGAGCCCAGAAAGTGAAGCTTGCAGTGAATCAAGGTAGTGCCATTGCACTCCAGTCTGGGTGACAGAGAGAGACTCCGTCTTGGGCAGTATGGCCATTTTCACGATATTGATTCTTCCTATCCATGAGCATGGAATGTTCATTCATTTGTTTGTGTTCTCTTCTATTTTGTTGAGCAGTGGTTTGCAGTTCTCCTTGAAGAGGTCCTTCACATCCCTTGTAAGTAGGATTCCCAGGTATTTTATTCTCTTTGAAGCAATTGTGAATGGGAGTTCACTCATGATTTGGCTCTCTGTTTGTCTGTTATTGGTGTATAAGAATGCTTGTGATTTTTTTTTTTTTTTTTTGAGACGGAGTCTGGCTCTGTCGCCCAGGCTGGAGTGCAGTGGCACAATCTTGGCTCACTGCAAGCTCCGCCTCCCGGCTTCACGCCATTCTCCTGCCTTAGCCTCCTGAGTAGCAGGGACTACAGGCGCCCGCCACTATGCCCGGCTAAATTTTTGTATTTTTAGTAGAGACGGGGTTTCACTGTGTTAGCCAGGATGGTCTCGATCTCCTGACCTCGTGATCCACCCACCTCGGCCTCCCAAAGTGCTGGGATTACAGGCTTGAGCCACCGCGCCCGGCCAAGAATGCTTGTGATTTTTGCACATTGATTTTGTATCCTGAGAATTTTCTGAAGTTGCTTATGAGCTTAAGGAGATTTTGGGTTGAGACGTTGGAGTTTTCTAGATATACAATCATGTCATCTGCAAACAGGGACAATTTGACTTCCTCTTTTCCTAATTGAATATCCTTTATTTCTTTCTCCTGCCTGAATGCCCTGGCTAGAACTTCCAACACTATGTTGAATAGGAGTGGTGAGAGAGGTCATCCCTGTCTTGTGCCATTTTTCAAAGGGAATGCTTCCAGTTTTTGCCCATTCAGTATGATATTGGCTGTGGGTCTGTCATAAATAGCTCTTATTATTTTGAGATACGTATCTTCTATCTAAATTGAATATTTTCAATGATGACTGTTATTTTATTTTATTTTTATTTTTTTGCTGTGAGATGAGAAAGGAATCATTTATATTTGTCAAAGCTTGGCCATCATTTGAATTCAAAGAAGAACATAAACTACAGATGCCACTTTATGGAGTAATATTTGGCAGAGTATTACGCTTTTGTTAAAAGAATACAGGAGGAAAAAATGTATATCTCTCTATATAGTCAACATCGGCTACAAAATATCAAGGAATAAGGAGATCTAGGATACCTGTGAGAGTGACTTGTAGATTTTCAAATTTTCTCCTAATATTTTCACATGCACGAACCGAAAAGAGTTTAAATCATGTTGCTCCAATTACTTTTCCAAGAAAAAGCACCAAAAAGAGGAAAACCTTTTCCCACATCGTCTTCGTGGCATCCGCTAGCTGAAGAAAATGGTTTGGCCATGAGAAACTGATCACATGATTTCTTATGCTTCATGTCTGTGTATTGGCTCCCATTTTCTCTTCCAGAGAAAATGGAAAACATTTTCACATTGTCCAGTAAACACCATACAGCAATGCATGCAGTTATTTACTTGCTTTCTTTGAATAATGGGAAAAACAGCGGGGTGCTGCAAGTGAAATAAGTCCAAACGGGAAGCATTTGCTAATGACAAACATTCTCCTTCCTCTATTCCTCTAAGTAAGCACTCTGGTGACCAAATCTTCTGCGTGACTTGGTGCTATAAGAAACATGGTTGACTCCCGGAATCCCACCCATCTATGAGGTGTAGAACCCCCTCCTCTTCTCCCTGCCTGCAACCTACCCTTTCAATCAGGCAATTTTAAATATGGGAAAGGCAATATGGTTAGAGTAGAACGTGTGATTTTGTTGAATAGAGAGTTAGAAATGTTAAGAAATAAGGCAGGTGGGTAGCTCAGGAAGAGTGATTTGATTTTTTGGATTTATAAGTAGCAAAGGGGGAGTTGAAATTTAGAATTATCAGTATAGTTTGTGTCTTTCTGTAGAATTCTGCTTCAGGTAACATTTCAAAGTTTTGGAAAAGTAAATTCCTGCTTTCACCCACAGAGGAGTTAGAGGTGACTGAAGCAAGATCAGACGGCTCTTTTGAGCCAACATTTAATCCTAGCTCTTGATGAGTGACTCCAGTCTATGGGTTTCACTGGGTCAGGATTCTTCACCTGTTCAAAATTGGTTACTGTGGCTGATTTCATGGCTATATGGTATAGATTATATGTGTCAGCAGATTGTAAATATAAAGAGGAGAAGGAAAAAAAATCTGGTAGAAACCAGTGACAAAAAGCAGTAGCTAATGAATCTTTTGGATGCTTCACACTTTTGCACTGTGATTTACTAGTTCTTGGTTTGGGTAGATTAAAATCTCTTTGGTGGAGTAAGTTGAGAACAGTGTGTTTCAGTGACGATTTCTAGGGCTTGGCTAAAGGTATCCACTCAGTTGTGAATTCTCAAGTCCAAGGGCAGCATCTTATTTCTGTTTGAATTTAGTGGTTAGCATAAAGACTGACACATAAGATTTCCAATGTTTGTTCAATGAATGAGTGAATGAAAAGGAATGAGTGTAGAAGTGTGGAATTTGGAAGTAATCATGCATATGTATATAAAAACTAGCCCTTTAAATTACATATCCTTTGATAAATAATCTAAAGATGGTCACAAATATGAACAATTCTGTGACAAGAAGAAATTTGCCAGCCACAAGTGTCTGCTTTGTTGTAAGGAGGACAGTTATTCAATAACGGCTTTTATAAACTACTATAAACATACTCTTTCAAGGTGAGTAACCTTGAAAATTAAAGTTTGTAGAAATGAAAACAGCAAATATATGTCAAAACTGCTTCCTTATCCTAAGACATCAATTTTTATAGACCTAGAGCAAAGTCAAATATTCCCTTATCTATACTTTCCTGTGCATTTACTGTGCGATACACATTTTCATAACGTTACAAGCCCTGAAACGTCTATATTTTCATAACATTACAAGTCATGAAACGTCTTCTGTGGATTTAACCTCTGAAATTTTTTTTAACAGTACTTTAAAGGTCTCTTGTTTTGGAACATTGGAGGCACAAATCTTGAATAGGTGGCGCCTAATGATAAAAGGGAAATTTGTGTAAATCTATTGGCCTCCTATTTCGAGTCTTGTGTTTGTGAAGTGATATAATTTGACCAGAAGATGGCAGCATTCTGAAAGAAAAAACAAAAACAGGAAAACAAAAAGCAAGGTACTACTACACTTAACATGTTTTTATCAAAGAATAAAAATATGTTAAGTGTAGTAGTACCTTTGAAGTAGTACTCTTTTAAGTGTTAATGATGTTACTATTTTAATTAGCACTGATCTTTTTTTGGACATTATCCTTTTTTTTAAATTTTATTTTATTATTATACTTTAAGTTTTAGGGTACATGTGCACAATGTGCAGGTTTGTTACATATGTATACATGTGCCATGCATATGTAACAAACCTGCACATTGTGCACATGTACCCTAAAACTTAAAGTTCTTTTCAAGGTGTAAGATGTCCTAATTCCAGAAAAAAATCTTAGTAATTGTAAAAGTCTACCTGTCCTATTTCTCATCAGAGAAGAAAGTCCTTTGAAAGGCCCCACAGTTATCTAAATGCGATAGAATTTTAAGTTAGTGATGTATTAATTCTCTGTAGGATTCAAATATAGTGTTTGAAAAGACTACATATGGCAATCAAATTTGTGATCCAAGAAGAGATTAAGTATGTTAGAGTTTTCCCTAAAATATCTGTATTGGGTGAAGGAACATTCTTGTGCACTATAAATTACATGGTATAAAAATGCAATGAAAAAAACCTGAAAAGATTCTTCTACAGATACTATATACATATTTATTGAATTATTTCACTTATTTACAAACCTTTCAAAACCATGTATTTTTATCTTAAAACTATTTTAAATTCAGACACCTTATTACATGTTTTTTTGTTACATGTTCTTTTGTTTGTAACAATATTGAGAGTCTTTCATCAGCCTGAAAGATGAACAGAACTTCCGTTATGTGCCTAACTTATTAAAACTTTGATTTAATTTAGTTCTAGAGATGCAGAAAAGAGCATATAGTTCATGTCCTAGTAATGTCCCTTCCAATTCATACAGCAAATATAATTACGAATAATCCACTCTGACAATATTCTTAAACCAATTAATGGGTTATGTTGTTTACTTGGTGTAACTCAGAGATATGCTAGGAATCAGGATAAATAATAAATATATAATGTTAACAGTAATGAAAGATATTGAAATAATTTTAAGTTTTTGCCTCAAGCTTTTAAATGGCATCAGATATGCAATAAATGTTTTCTGGTTTGATGATAACATTTTAATGAAAGTTTTCACAGGTATTTGGTTAGAAAAATTGCATTTAGTGTTCCAGTATTTCTGAAATGTCAAGAAAAACGGTTCTTTAGTCTAAGTCTGAATAAAAATAGGTATCCTTGGGGCCTGTTTCCTGTGTCCATGCTGCTGAAAAGTCAGAATTTGTTCTTTTTACTTGCCTGGAGTCAGCCTGGCCTAATTGCCTTCACCCATTCCTGATCTGACCGTTTGAGACCCCACAACAGTGCAGATGCTCCTTGACTTACAATGGGGTTATGTTCCAATGAATCCATTGTAAGTTGAAAAAAAATCTTAAGTCAAAAATGCACTTAATACACCTAACCTATTGAGCATCCTAGCTTAGCCTAGCCTGTCTTAAATGTGCTTATAACACTTACATTAACCTACAGTTGGGCAAAGAGATCTAACACAAAGCCTATTTTGTAAGTGTCGAATATCCCGTGTAATTTATTGAATACTCTATTGAAAACATATTGCTTTTGCATCAGGCTCATGTCAAAAAATTCTAAGTCAAATCATTGTAAATTGGGGACCCTCTTTACTTATTGCTGAAATCCATCCTTATTTTATTTTATTTTACTTCAAGTTCTGGGGTACATGTGCAGAACTTGCAGGTTTGTTACATAGGTATAAATGTGCCATGGTGGTTTTCTGTACGCATCAACCCATCATCTAGGTTTTAAGCCCCTCAGGCCTTAGGTATTTGTCCTAACACTTACCATAGAATACTATGCAGCCTCAAAAAAGATTGAGTTCATGGTCTTTGCAGGGACATCGATGAAACTGGAAACCATCATTCTCAGCAAACTAACACAGGAACAGAAAACGAAACACCGCATGTTCTCACTCATATGTGGGAGCTGAACAATGAGAACACATAGACACAGGGAGGGGAAATCCATCCTTCTTAATCCCAGAAAGCTGCTGAAGTTTCTAGATCTCAGCAGCAAACTGAACTTTACAAAACCTTTCTGGCCAGGCACCATTCATTCCTTGTCATTGGATCTCCTCCTCACCACCACTCCCATAAAAGTTTGACTGGGATGGAAGGAAGTTTCATTAGCACTTGCTAGAACTGAGGAAGGAATCAAGCTGCATAATAGAAAATTATGTCATAAAGACCACAAATAAGAAACGAGTTAGAGTCTAGGCAAACTGATAAACACTTATATGTTATTCTCCCCGGAAAACTACTTGGACCCATTTTAAAGCAGAGTCATCATCACTTTTTTATTGTGTTCAAATTTATTTGTATTTGTTTCCATTGTAAGTCAATATTCAAACTATTTTGTAGTGTTTTAACATGTCGTCTGACCATTTCATGTGTTCTAATTTAATGTTTTAAAGAAAACCCATTGTTTAATATTCCCCTTCCTCCACCTTTTTGTGGATATAAACTCTGCTTTTATCAGGACAAATTAAGGAACCAAAGGGTGGTAGTCACCCCACTTTGGGTTGTATGTACCCATCTTTAGTCCCATTTAAATATAGTATTAATGAATGACAAAAAATACCACTATAACCTTGACTCTGTGGTTTTACATTCCTCGAAGTGTTCTTATCTCTCAGATGGCAGCAGAGATGAAATGTGCTCCTGGTATTCATAATCACAGCTCAGGACACAGCTCCCTGTGATCGGATGTTAAAATTAAAATTTTGACCCAAACCCTAAGGGGACAAATTCGATATCAAAGTAAGTAGTGAGATAGACCAAGCTGCAGAGCTTGCAAGAAGTATTTGGAGGAGAATGCATTCAAGACCTCAATTCTCCTGCCTTCTTGGAGGTTATAATAGGATCAAGAATTGAGATTCTTGCACGATTTGGGAAAAAGTGATTTGGGATTTTTGTATGCAGTGAAAACATCCACCTCCAACACACTTTGCCCTCTAGGGAAGGGTTAATATGATGCCTGCCCTCATTTCAAGGCTGATGAAAGGGACTTCAAAGGGACCTTATAGACATGGAGGGCTTGACATGAGTCCCTGTAGTGTGGGAGACACAGGAGCCTGACCTGGCTTGTTGGGGTGTCTAGCTGGTAACAAGCCAGAGGAGGTGTGGCTGTATTAGTATGAGCTAAATTCTTAAATTTGGCTGGAAACTGGCAGTGCTTGTGTTTCTCACAGACCAGAGATGTATCACATGGCATCGTGTAAGGGCCTGTCCCTAGGGTTGACTAGAGATATAAAGAAGCCTCAGCCGGGAGAAGATGAAAGTGTTCACGTATCTCTACAGGTTGTGGAAAAAGTAACTGACCTGCAAAAAAGGAGGTGCAAAGGCCACGTTAAGGAGATCACAGGTGTGGTAGCTAATCTGCAATACATCCTCCAGTGATCTGTGTGTCCTGGTAGATATGTCTGGTAGAGTCCACTGTCACATTGATTAGGATAGGTTCATATGACCAGTAGAATACAAGAGACATCTTGGTGTGTGACTTTGAAAGCTAGGTCATAAAAGGCGTGGCAGTCTCTGTCGTTGTCTCTTAGATTTTTCACTCTGGAGGAACAAAGCTTCTATGACGTAAGAACATTTTGGTTGCTTCACAGAGAGATCCAGATGGAGAGGAGCCAGTTTGTAACCACATGAGTATACTGTTTTGGAAATGAGCCAGTCAACCCCCAACTGCAGCCTCATGAGAGACCCTGTCCTAAAACTGCTTGAACAAAACACTACTGAATTCTCAATACCTGCAAACCATGGGACATAATAGATGATCAGTACTGTTTTCAGCCATTAAATTAAGGGGGATTTGTTATGCAGCAATAGATGGCTGGGATGGATTTTTAGGGCACCATAACAAAAAAACTAAAAACTGACAAAATATGATGGAGACTTTGAGATTGGGAGGCAGGTGGATGCTAGACAGATGGAAACAGAGTAGTATTGAAAGGACATCAAACATACTGTTAGCATAAGCCAGGTAGCTTTTGAGGGGGCTTTCAGTGAAAGGTTAAAGAAAAATAAAGAAAGTGTTATTAGAAAAAGGGAATCCTTCTTATTTAGAGGAAAAAATTTAGCAATATTGTTGTGTGTGGTAATGTAGAAAGTAAAAAATGTACCTAAAGAATATAATGATCTAGATAAGGAGATTTCCAGGCTTGGTTAAAGGTAATTTCTGACTTCTTATTACGTATACTGAAATGAAAGAGGAGGCCGGGCGCGGTGGCTCACGCCTGTAATCCCAGCACTTTGGGAGGCCGAGGCGGGCGGATCACGAGGTCAGGAGATCGAGACCATCCTGGCTAACACGTTGAAACCCCGTCTCTACTAAAAATACAAAAAATTAGCCGGGCGAGGTGGCGGGCGCCTGTAGTCCCAGCTACTCGGGAGGCTGAGGCAGGAGAATGGCGTGAACCCCAGGGGGCGGAGCCTGCAGTGAGCCGAGATTGCGCCACTGCACTCCAGCCTGGGCGACAGCGAGACTCCGTCTCAAAAAAAAAAAAAAAAAAAAAAAAAAAGAAAGAGGAGACAGATAAGCTAAAGGAGTATTAAAATATAAAGGTGCCAGAATTTGTTGGATTCAAAAATAAAACTTTGTTTCTTCACAGCCTTTCTAGACAGCAAATGATACTACAATAAAGAAACAATGAAAAACAAATGTAGATCATACTCAAGAAAATATGGTCTCAAAATAAAATCCTTTGCTAAGACCTCAGAAATACCTGAGATGATACTTCAGAGAACTATTCAGGCAGTTCTAAGTCCTCTAGAATTTTTGAAAGATACTTCACAGATCCCATACATTAAAAAGTAGGGCTTAAAAGGATTATGAAGACAATGTCTTTCAGAAGCCTCAATAGATGTCTGAGGTAGAGAAAGACATATCTTGATGAATTTTGTAACTGTGACTTTTGTGTAATGGAGTGAGCCCTAATAAGATACATAAGAAATACACAAAGTTGAAAGAGATCATATGAGCAGAAACACCTATAGCTTGGCTCAAAAGTTCAGAGATAGTGAAAAATTAAAAGACATCTTTGGACCACCAAAGTATCACAGTCAGAAAACAAGATGAGAAATCATCTCACTTGCAAACACGGGGCATTTCATTAGAAAAAGGAAGAATGACTCAAAGGGCACATCTCACAGGAAGGAACTGGTGGATCAACCCCAGGAAGCGGTATGAATGATTCCAGCCAAAGACCTTCAAATATGTGCCCTGTTGTTTTTCAGGATTTGTATAGACCAGTGACACTTACGTGCCTTCTGTTTCCTCCTTTTATTGAATGAGAGGGTCTACGGTTGTTATTCCATATCTGCCATACCACTGTATGTTGGGTGAGTTTGCATATGTTCAGAGAAAGAGGAACTATACCGGAGGGGCTGTGCTTGAGGAAGTGCACCTGAGACCTGCAGCGTCTCATCTGCACCTGGATCTGATTTATTTAACAAAATCTTGAACTTTGAACAGATGCTATCTTTTGGGGGCCATTTGGAGCAGGCTAGTGCTTTTGCTTGCATTAGAGACATGGCACATTGTCACATTGTGGTAACCAGCCTCCAAGTTGCCACCCAATAATTCTTTTTATAAACATGCCCTTGTTTAGACCTTTTCCAACATTGAACAGGGCTAGTCTGCGTGATCAGTACAGTACAGAAGATAAGACAGTTTGACTTCCTTGATTTCTTTCACTTGCATCGGTGGAAGTCAGGTGCCACCACATGAGAATGCTCAAGCATTCCCATTGAGAAAAATGACATAGAGAAGAGCCAATGTTCGAACACCAATATTTCAGCCACACGAATAAGCCAATTTCGAAGTAGATCTTGTAGCCCTGGTAAAACGTTTAGAGAACTGCATTCCAGCAGACAACTGACTGCAGCCTCACGAAAGACCCATACAACTAAGTTGCTCTAAATTTCTGACATGCGTGGAACTGTGAGATTAGCTGCATAACAACCCCCTCTTAATTTAATGGCTTAAAACAGTACTAATCATCAATTATGTTCCATGGTGTGCATGTATCAGGAATTCAGGAGTGGTTTGTTCAGGCAAGGTCTTTCATGAGGTTGCGTTATTGTTACTTTAAGCCACTAAGTTTATAATTTATTATACAACAACAGATAATCGATATAGCAGGCAAGAGATTAATATCTTGTGGACCTACAGATTGCATATTTTCATCCAGTGAGAACTTTCCTGTTCTTGCAAGGCCTCTGCCCCCCATCACAAAGGTGCTAGCAAGTGATGTATAGAATAAGCTAGAAAGGAAAAGGAAGCAGAACACTCCCACCCCACAATCTTCCCTCGATGCAGGTAGACACCTACCTTGAGCAAGACAAAACTATGTGTGTGAGCGTGCGCGTGTGTGTGTATCATTGGACTTAACACAAAAAGAAAACTACAAATACAAGTGGGAGAATGATCTCACAACTTTGATATATCCACGAAATGCTAAATGTGAAATTAAATATTTGGTTAATATTTGCTTGGGAAATATCTTTAAATGGAAATTCTACTAGTTTTCAATTCTAAACGTTCATCTTCTAAAAAATCATTTAATATTCTGACTTACATCCACAGAAGAAAAAATGTAAAAAATAATGTCCAATGATCTACCTAAAACCCTGTGTTCTAAAGTATTGAATTTGTTCTACATTAAGACCTCAATGATTTGGGCCAGCAGAACCATAGACCCGGGCTAGGTTGAGTTGCTCTAATCTGGTGTCTGCTGTCTTTTACATTTTGTTTTTGTTTCTTATTGTCTGTCCAGTCCAGGGTTCAGAACTCACTGATGAAGAAACCTTAGAAATGAATGCAATGCCTTAGCGACAGGGAAGTACTGGGGGCAACTTCGTGGGGATGCTCTTGGAAATGAAACAGGCTTATCCTAGAGGCTGGACATAAAAAAAAAATTGTCAACATTTTCCTCTTTCTTATAATTTGTTTAGTCTAGAATTTAAATGAAATCTGTGTCATGGATTACTCAAAGAACATCTTATAAAGAAGGCCAATATATAAAAGAGATAAAGCTCAGTCAGCTTGGCTGGGACAGGCAGAGGACGGCAGTTTTGGGGGTGCCCTAGAGTGCATGGTGGGAGCGGCCCTGATTTATTTGGTTATTAGTGCTTGTTTGCATCATTCTCTGCATTTCATATTATAACTAATTTGGTAAATGCTTATCTAGTAAATTACTACAGTCCTGATACAAAGATAGGACCTTCAAAATGAATAAAGAAAACAACAACAGTAACAACAACAACAACACAGATAAAGCAATCTACAGTAAAGAGGAAACAATTAGAGTCAATTTCATAACATCAATGGATTTTCCTTTGAAGGAATCTACTGATTCAGGAGGTCATCTGGATTATACCAGCTGGCTAAAGTAGAAAGACTAGAGAAACGCTAAAACCCAACAATGACAACAAAAATCTAAGGAGTATAGTTGATTGATTTAAAAATAAATGAAGCGAGTACATAAAGTATTCATTAAATAACCAAAACAGTCAAGGATAAAGGAGGTTTTCAAGTGGTGGCATCTTAGGACTTTATGAGGATACAGAGTAAACAATTCCTTTACTTTCAGATTTCTGTTACATGATTCCAAATATTTATATATGTGATTTTCAGACTACTCATATGGTTGGCTTATATTTTTATTGTTTCATTTTGAAATTTGGTATGTGATTGATTCAGCTCAAAACTATAGTCAAGAAGGCCCTCTGTGTAAACTTTGTATATTCACATGAAATCCTTGCTTAAACCTTTCAATGACTTTAACTGTCTTTAAGACATGAGCACAGAGGCCATCAAATGCCTGGGACAGAATTAATTATCAATCTGTTAGCAAGAAGGTAGAAAAATATGGGAAAATATTTAATATGTAATTAGAGCTTGGAGACAACTAGGTTTGAAATGAATAAAGTGAAGACTGTGAAAATGGCTTACCAGTTATTATTACTCCTCAGTGCTATGAATTATACTCTTGGTTGCTATGATGTGGCATGCTGTTGGCTTGCCATTTTTTATTGCCCAGAAGTAACTGGCAGTTGTTATTTCTCTTGGACGAAAATATGAGTTGAATTCAAGAAGTCACATTGGTCCACGGAAAAACTAAATTTTTCTCATTGTAATGATGATAGCATGCAAAGTACTATTCATATGACTAAAGTCTTAGGTTGCAGGAATGATTTTTAAATATTATTTCTTATGCTATTAATCTATTCAATTCTAATCTATCATTCTTATGTGTTCATTTTTTCCCGTATTTCTTTTGGTTTTATGAATTCTGCTCCAGATACTTAATTAACCAGATTACTACAAACTAAACACAAGGGAGAAAAACAAGTTTGCCAGCCCCCAAAATTATTTAAGTATCATGTGTTCAGAGCTAAGTATTATATATATCAAGATACAAGTTATTCTCGACAGAATGAAATTCTAAGATTCAAAGTGGAAAGATGTATATGAGGAGGTGACCGTGAAGATGGAATAACCCATCACAGACAAGACTGTCTTGAGTTAACATGTAAATGGATTGGAAACAGACGTCAGTATCTGAAAACAACAAGAAATTAGAGAATTTTGAATTTATTTTAAATATAAAAGTAAATGGCCGTGGAAATATTTCTGTTTTTCAAAGTCCAAAATTAATGAATTGCACACTTATTTATTATTTCAAAATCCAGACTAGGTGAATGAAATCCTCTGTGCTTTTAAATCACAGAATTCTAGGAAATATCACATTATAATAATCACTGAACAATTTCCTTTTTAGAAATATTTTTTCCAGCTCTCTGGTGACTCAGTTCTTCCTTAAAAAGCTATAAATTTTGCCTATTTTTCTTTCTAATAAACAATGAGGATCTTACCAACAGAAGCAAATCTTTCTTTAAAAATCCACATACTTTAATGTGATTGCTTTGACATGGCAAAATGAAATTGCCATATTCAAAAGCAAGACATCAAAAGACATTCTTTTCTAAGACTATTACATTTGTGTTTAAATGTTTTAATTAAAAACTGTATTAATTCAAATTTTTTGATGTTTCTGAAGAAGTTGTCTAAACTTCCCTTAAAAATTCCATGTATATCGTTTTTTCCTTTAGTATGTTGACTGTTTCTTTCCTCAGGATATGAAAGCTAATAATAACATATGTGACATAAAATACTATTTAAATTCTAGCCAATTTTATATATTACCTTGAATTCTTTCCCCAAGACTTCAGTGAAAATAAACATTTCCAGTTTCTACTTGTAAAAGACAGTACTTTATCCTTCTGTTTTGTTTTAAATATTGAACAGCATTAGGGAAAATCACCAGTCTTCTTAAAAAATTCATCTGATAACCATTTAAGCAAACATATAGTATATGATAACATGGTAAAACAAAATAAAGCTATCACTAAAAATTTGCCTTTAAATTTAATTTTAAATGATACTTTAAAATGATGTGAAAGGTAGAATTTCAAGATTTTTTTTTCAGTTTCATTACCTCTCACTAATATATCACAAGCACAGTGACTTTAGTTTAATGATCATATGTATGGGATATGTGATTGGATTTAGAAATATAAAACCTGGTTTACATTGAAATTACTAAGGGAAAACCTTGGTGGTTTTTCTCTTGTTTTTGGATCAGTTTTATTTTTGCTTATATGTGGTATAGTTGGAACAAATGCAAATGACATTTTATAGTTTCATAGAAGAATCAGTTTTCACATATACCTAAAGTATAGCCTAATTTATTGCAAAGGTAATACCGTGCAATGATCCATTAGGAAATAAACCCAAATGTCAATGTACCTGCAGCATATTTATTATTTGTAGCAAAGACGTTCGCATGTTCAACACTGGGTTCCTTCACTGAATGACTGAACCGTGAAAACTCAAATGTAGCATTTCTTCATGGGGATTTGCACAGTCTTTGAAAGACTGATGGAGTTCTTGACAGTCTTCCCAGAAATGTGTAAATGTATACATTTTAAAATTATATATAAAATATGTAAAACCATGCATACATAAATTATGCATACATAATTTAAAATATAATTTTACAGGTTCAGGAATTTAGTTGATTAATAAATTCCAGAATAAGAATTGTTTTTCCTAATCCCTTGTGGCTAATTCATCATGGATTAATGTCGTACTCCCAATCAGACTGTCTTAGACATCTTTAATAAATAACACTCCACTGAAATAGTATTTTATTGGCATTATAATTTTTATTTTTAAGTAGTGCTACCATTACTTTTTCAGTGGCAATAATGAACAAGTTGATTATTGTTTGTAAAAGGTGCCCATTAACCTTTGTTCTTCTACCTTAGAAGCTTTTCTGTTTTGAAACTATTTCTCAGATCATTCCAGAGCTGAAACTCCTATCCCAGACACAAGCAAAACCACACTATACATTGGTAACAATAAATCTGCATTTGTGGTTTCTGTGTTTATCCTGAGAAAGTTTTATACATAATTAATAAATATAATTTATACTGAAAGATTGTATGACTACATAAGAACTTAATAATTACTAATTTGGTTCCCTTTAAAAATTCTACTGTATAGTTAAGAATTATTCAACACAGGCTTTTTGAAAATAACATCAAAATAACACTTCAGAAAATAATATCACATGTTATTTTTGAAAAATAACATCTGATGTGAATATATGTACACACACAAGGACACAAATATATGCATATATAATCTATTTTATATGTATACATATATATACATTCATTCATACACATACATATATGTAAACATATCTATAAAATCTGTGGTGGATATATGATTTAGAAAATGATGTTAAAAGCCTGTAACCTACACTATGCTTGGAGGAGCCAGCCATTTTTTTTATTGTTCAGTAAAACTCTTCTTGTGCATTGAGCATTCAAATATTAGTGACATTTTGTTTCTGATATAATAACAGCTCAAGCCAATTTATATTAATTCTGAATCCAGGTGCTGAGCCTGTGAATCCCTGTAAAGTATAGCGTTCAGGAGCATTGAGGATCTGGGTGCCATATCCTGTGTACTCTTGATGTTCTTGATTATTCTACACAGTAGAATGCTAGACTCTCCTTGTTCCTTCAGTTACTTATTTTACAAATAGGAAATTTTTCTTGTTTTCTGGGGCTTGGCTCTTTTCTTCATAAATATTTGATTAATAGTGATTTAATGAATATCTGCACTTATAAGTAAATTATCTTTAGGAAAAACAACCACAACAAAACCTCAGAGATTTTAATGTTCAGCTTTAAAACCTTTCGTGAAACAATCCTATATTAATACCAGGAACAACTCAAGCCACTGAAGAGAGTGATATCAGTGTACTGTTGCACAGTGAATCAAAGCACTTTACATAACATGATACAAGGGCTCGCGGGTTGTTTATGGAAGAGTCTAGTACGAAAGGCATTGTGAGATTGTGTCAAAAGAACAAAACAATTTAGGAGAGAAATTGATGAGCTTGGTAACATGACACCATAAGCCTCTTCTTTTTTCTAATGTGTTTTTTGACAGTGGATAACCTACATTTTAACTTTCATTTTTTTATGAAATATACCTCAGAAATCTATATTACTGCTTAATTTTCAGCATGATCTACACATAGAATTAATGAAAAATCTGATGATGACTCATCGGTCCTATTCTAAGAATAAGTTTAAAAGAAAAATAATCTTACTGAAAAATAGGCACTTAGAAACCCAGAGACCTTACACACAAAAGGAAAGCCAAATTTCTGTGGTTGTTACTGTGGTCACTACTATAAATAGATTTCATAGCAGCAAATCAAAGGTAACCTTAATTATGGAATGAAGGTAGTCGTGCTGTAATGATTGTGTCATTACAGAGCAGAGGGTTAGTTCATTATAGTTTGATGTGTTAGGTAGGTGTTCTTAGAATTTCATATTTCTACTTAAAATTAAAACTTTTGTTCATGGTAAAAAGAACAGCTCTGTAGGATATTACAGTTTTCTCTCTCTTCATAAAGTATCTAGACTGTTATTACATATCATTTATTCCTTAAGCTCCAAATTGTGGGAGAAAGTATCTGTTTAATCTCTCATAGACAAAATTCTTCATTCTGATATTCCAACCATAAAATTGATCCATGGCCCAAGAATTACTTTTGAACTGTAGTGAAAAGGGTGTACCTAAAAGAATAACAACACCAATAACAAGAAAAAATAACATGCCCACACACAAATTGAAAGAATGATTCCCCTCAAAACAAAAGTGTAGCTTCATGCATGCCCCTGCAAAGGACATGGTCTCATTCCTTTTTATGGCTGCATAGTATTCCATGGTGTATATGTACCACATTTTCTTTATCCAGTCTATCATTGATGGGCATTCGGGTTGGTTCCATGTCTTTGCTACTGTAAACAGTGCTTTAAGTGCTTTAATAAACATACATGTACATGTGTCTTTATACTAGAATGATTTATACTCCTTTGGATATATACTCAGTAATTGGATTGCTGGGTCAAATCATATTTCTGATTCTAGGTCCTTGAGGAATTAACACACTGTCTTCCACAATGGTTGAACTAATTTTCATTCCCACCTTAAACCTAGATGGCAGGTAGATAGGTGCAGCAAACCACCATGGCACACGTATGCATACCTATGTAACAAACCTGCACGTTCTGCACATGTATCCTGGAACTTTAAGAAAAACAGGCCAGGTGTGGTGGCTCACGCCTGTAATCCCAGCACTTTGGGAGGCCGAGGCGGGTGGATCATGAGGTTAGGAGATCAAGACCATCTTGGCTAACACAGTGAAACCGTCTCTCTACTAAAAATACAAAAAAATTAGCCAGGCGTGGTGGAGGGCACCTGTAGTCCCAGCTACTCGGGAGGCTGAGGCAGAATGCCGTGAACCCAGGAGGCAGAGCTCGCAGTGAGCTGAGATTGCACCACTGCACTCCAGCCTGGGCGACAGAGCGAGACTCCGTCTCAAAAAAAAAAAGAAAAAAAAAAGAAAAAATAGCCTGTTTTTCAAGTTACTCTTATTATTGGCCATTTAAAGAAAAGAAATTTCGTAAAAGTCGATTGTCTTTGATGGTGGAGTATTTCTTTCTGGGTACTCTTCATGGCCTGCTAGAGAACTTTACTAAATTATAGTCCAGTAGCTGGACAGAGCTGCATGTGTATTGTCTAAGTCCACCTGTGCTGCTGGTCAAGATTATTTTGCAGTGTTTGGTGGTGTTGAAGAGGAATACTGTTGTGAAGGCTGAGTCAACTGCATGACAATTCTCATGGCTCACTGGCTGATGAGTTGTGGCATGACTAGAAAGCTCTGCTTGTATTCCCAGATGACAAGTCACACCTGAACAGCTGGATACTACTCGCATCCAATTTGCTTCCAAGTTAACATATTTTCAGAAAATATTTGATTTGGAGTACATACAAATATTTTTCTGTTCAATAATTGATTTAAATATTTCTTAATTGCGATTGTGGGGTGGTCAATTGATGGCAAAACAAAAAAAAATTGAAGAAAGATTCCATCACTCTAACAAATTAAAACACTGTGAAAACTGATGAGTTTATGTTTCTCATAAAAAACTTTTACAAAAAATGGTTACCATAAAAATGTATACGCACTTCTGTGTAACTATATTGACCATATTTATAAACACAGGGGTAACTGAAGAAAGAGTAAGCAACTGCACACATTCTTCAACTCATTGTTATGAATTATGAGACACTCAGTCACTGAAATGTGTATGTTCCAAGAGAGAAAGTGGATACCACCAGTAATTATATCAGGGAGAAAAGAACTGCCCTGCAGGATACTAACAGGTGCTTTACAAAGTGAATTAAATAATAAATACCTTTAAAAAGTGAGCCCCACACCTGTCCCCAATGTTGAAAAAAAAGAAAAAGCCAATGCATCAATGATTTTCAAAACCTTCAAGTCAAAACTGTTGAGAAGGTTTTTTAAGAAAAACATTTTCTTTAATCAGAATATGGTAAAATGAGATCTTCCATTTTCTTATCTTAATTTTGCATCTCAACTTTCCTTACCCATTATGAAAATGAAGAGCACCATTCCATTTCAGTGTACCTGTTGGCACACATTACTGTTGATTTTTCAGTTTACCCCGAAAGATCATTGTGCAGTATCTTTCTAGTTCCTCCTATTCCCAATATATGCAGTATTATCATAGCTTGTACAGCATTTCATTGCGTTTCACTGTTTACATACTTACCTCCTTTTGCTGGAATGTAAGCTGTTTAAAGACAAGGAATATGTTTTATTCCTCCCCAAGTCTTTTTCATGTAGCCTAGTGCATGGCATATAGTAGATGTTCAATAAATATTTATTCCATAAAAATGTTTTAGATATAAATAACACAGGGAACATAATTTCCATGTAAATATTTAAGCCATGCGTATCTGTCATTTAAATGACATATTTTCATTCTTCTTGCAATTGCAGCAAATCTGTCATGTTTTAAAATCAGAGTATTATCTTTTGAGTCCTATTTTAGACTTGACTTTTATTTTAAATGCAGTGAACAAGCAATCCAAACTTGTTTCTTTGTGTTGCATAAAAAATAATACAACACTATGATTTTCACTAAACTAGGAAAGGTTATTTTGGAACTACTGGGATTTTAGATATTTGAAGTAGTAATTACTTCCTTCATAAGTGTTACCTTTTAGAGTCAAATACTATTTTCCTGTTGCAGTTCAACTCTTTCCTTAAAGGAAAATGTCTTTTATTCACAATCTACACATGAAGCATTTCAAACCAAAGCAGTTTCCTCCTTTCGTGGTGTATTATTCCATGTGGAATAAGTTTTAATAGCATTGTAAAGTCTACTAATTATCATAATAATAATGACAGTACCTTACATTTATGCATTACTTATTCTGCACTGATCATTTCACTAAGCACTTTTTATATGTGCTCTTTCATTTAATTCCCACAGAAAATGTTTGATGTGGATGTTTTATATATCTCTGCATATAAACCTATTATCTATCTATGTCTGTCTATATCAATCTAAATATATTTATATAATTATTATCTGTCTATCCATCCATCTACATCTATCTCTATCATCTGTTTCTCCTTATCAATCAATCAGTCTATCTGTCCATCCATCCATCCATCCATCCATCCATCATCATCTGTCGTCTATCATTCATCACATCTTAGAGGAACAATTTTCTAACTGGTAAGCAATACTGTCAAGATAATAGTGTAGGGAAAGGCATCTCCAGATTTTGCATTCTTGGCTCTTTAAAGCTCTGAGTATCCGGCAATGAAATTTAATTAGCACGTTTCGAATAATTCTTGATTCATGACCTGTTTCAGTGAAGTACTTGTGTTATCATTTATAAAACAAAAAACATTTTTCTAGGGTTGTACTTAATTAAATAAATTAAATATCATTAAGTCACTATGGCTAAGATTCCAACAGTATTTCTTCTATATCGAATGAATATCAACTCTTACCTGATGATCATCAACATTTACACGTAGAGACTCTCTGTTATTATTTAGAACTCACCGTAGTCTTGGGTTTGGTTCCAGAATTGGCTACTGGAGTGGAAGATGGGAGGTCCGTGGACTCAGTGTCAGAAGACAAATTTACTCGTGTCTGATTTACTGAAATGGTATCTGCTCCACTTTCAGATCCTGATTCCAGATCCTATTAAAAAACAAATGCACTGGTATGAAGGACATGTGAATGTTCCCAAATGCCCTTCTTCCTACCACCAGAACTTTGTCACTTCTTCTTTCTCCCAGTGCACACTGATACACTAAAGAGTTGCTGACAACTGACAGTGACGTGTCACACATAATCATGCATTATTTGGTAAGAACCATTGTACTCATCAGAGGGTCTGCAAATACTTGAGAAAGAGGTAACATACTATTTGGTAATTTAACAGCTGAGTGTGCATTGGAAAGGCAGGGAGTGTGGCTAGCTAGGGCCCTGCAGAGAAGTTAGAAGGCAGAAGCCCACAGCCACACCTTCCTTACTGTGTGACCTTGAATCACTCACTGACACTCCTCTGACTATACAGCGCTGCCCAGAGTTCCTCACAGGGCCACTGGATTTCAAATACAAAGAGAGTTCTCATTTCTTCTTACCTCAATCTCTTCTATGTTCCTATTCAACCTCTATGGTGACAGCTATTACGGTGGCCTGGAATATTTGAGCTGAAATGTCTATCTAATAAACTGAGGGCAGGAATTATGTCTTGTTATGTGTCATTCAATTCCCTTGTTTGAAAATGGGTATAATGATAGTAGACACTCATGGAGTTTCATAAGCATAAAGCAAAGTGCTGGTAATTGGCTCCTAATAATTTTCATTAAATGCTAGCTACTCCAATAAATATTGTTATTATTATTATGTTTTCTTAGCAACTACTACATAGTGTGAGGTCAAGACATGTCTGTTGAGTGGATAGAATTACCTGGTAACCTCTGCAAAGGCTGCGCATTTAATATATCATATGCTTTCTTTGAGTTATAGGTGGTTTGGTTGCACAGAGGAAAGGTGGGAGGGGGAAATTGCAGAGGGGATGGAGCAAAGGCACGTATCACTCTAGGCTTTTAATCTGAGAAAACTATGATTTAAATATCTCTATGTATCCTCTTTATACATCTCAACTTTGCCGTGGTTCACATGGTCAAATATCATGTCCCGCACCCCAACTCTCCAGTCTTAGCTTTGCCATTCTCTTGTTTCTCAGTCCTACCTCCTCTTGATAATTTCTTTTAATACAGTAAGCTGGTGTCTACAGGAGGGACTAGGCCCTGTGCTCTTTCTTGTCCCTTGTCCCAGTATTTCCCTTTGCTGGCCCCTTCTTGTCACTCTGTTGTCAGCTTGAATCTTACTACCTCAGAGAAGCATCCGTTGACATTTCAAACCAAAGAACTTCACTCCCTTCAACCTCTATAACATATTCTCTATTTTCCAATCCTCTTTGCTTGCTAATCTACTACATATTCTATCTATCTATCTATCTATCTATCTATCATCTATCTATCTATCTATTAGGTACCTATCTACCATCTATAAATTTGTCTACCTTCCTATCCATCTATGCATCCATCTCTCTTTATAATTCTTTTTTTTTTTTTGGAATGGAGTCTCACACCGTCGCCCCGGCTGGAGTGCAATGGCGCAATCTTGGCTCACTGCAGCCTCCACCTCCTGAGTTCATGCAATTCTCCTGCCTCAACCTCCTTGAGTAGCTGGGATTACAGGTGCACACCACCACACCCAGCTAATTTTTTGTATTTTTAGTAGAGACGGGGTTTCACTATGTTGGCCAGACTGGTCTCGAACTCCTCACCTCGTGATCCACCCGCCTTGGCCTCCCAAAAGCTGGGATTGCGCGCATGAGCCACCGCACCCAGCCTCTTTATAATTCTTGTCTGTCTTCCTCTATTAGAATCTATGCATCGCAAGAGTAAGGACTTCACCTGTCTTGTTTACTGATGTGTCCCCAGGTGTTAGAATAGTGCCTGGCAGATAGAACATGATCGTTAAATACAGTTTTATGAAGAAACTACTAGACTGACAAATATTAATACCTTTTCTTCCTTAATTCTCACAATAGAAGTAATTTTATTGTTTCTGCTGTAAAATTATGTGATCAAAAGCATCAAAACTAAATTTTCTCCAGTTGGAAGGGTACAAAAGACATACGCAGCAAAAAGTAATGTTACACTCTTTAAATGTATGTGCATGTGTGTGTGTGCGTGTGCGTGTGTGTAGAAGACATAACTCTGAGCAAATTTCTGATGCCTGGAATGATTTTGGATCAGGGCCATGTCTTCTTCTTCTTCTTCTTTGTTTTTTTGCATAGAAAAGACAAACTACATTTTACCCTAAGAATATGATTCATTAGAATTTCAAATTGGATCAACATCAAGTAGTCTTAAATAGCAGATAATTTATAAACATTGAATGCATAATCATAAGTAGCAGGTAATTTATAAGCCATTTATATTTGACCTTTAGGTATATCAGAAATATTTTGCATTAATTTCTTTTCTTTCTTTTTTTTTTTTTTTGAGACGGAGTCTCACTCTGTTGCCCAGGCTGGAGTGCAGTGGTGCGATCTCTGCTCACTGCAAGCTCCGCCTCCTGGGTTCACACCATTCTCCTGCCTCGGCCTCCCGAGTAGCTGGGATTACAGGCGCCCACCACCACACCCGGCTAAATTTTTGTATTTTTACTAGAGACGGGGTTTCATCGTATTAGCCAGGATGGTCTCAATCTCCTGACCTCGTGATCCGTCCGTCTCAGCCTCCCAAAGTGCTGAGATTACAGACGTGAGCTGCTGCGCCTGGCCTTGCATTAATTTCCTGTTTGTGATTTGATTAGATAAATAACAGAGTAATCTTGTATCTTTTGAACCATGTAATGCTTCCAAGGTGAAATAATAACTTTTAAAAACTACCGTTTATTGCATTTTTACCTTTCACAGACAAGGCTTTACAACCATTATCTGCTTCAATGTTCATCACCTCTACGTGGAAGTTACCATCATCACACGAGAGATGGTGGGTGAAGCCAAGGCTTAAGGTAAATAACTTGACCAAAGTCGTATCCCAAGGTAGAGCTGGCATTAGAGTTCAGGTGTGTCTGACCCCAGAATCCAACTTTTTAAAGTAACCACCATGATATTCTGCAGAGGCCTCAAACACAACTAAATAAGTAATTTTAATAGGACCATCAATGTGTAGTTTAGTACAAATCTTTATTATTTTCTCTTCTGTTCTCTGTTCAATTTGAGAAATTACCCAAAAGCTCTCCCAAAATCTCTCACATCCGCTCCCTCCTTTAATTTTCCACTGCTACCATAAGCAGACCAAGCAGTGAATAAACCCTGGGTACTCATTACAACTGCCACTCATAATTTCCCTGTTACCCGCCCCCCCCAACCCAACTTGCTTTGTGTAATTAATCCTACAGGCCATCTTCCTGCAAGACTCCATCTATCAGTGTTACCCTATGCCTCCAGTTATGCCATTCTTTGGGAATATAGAGCTCTCTGTGGGGTTTTTATCATGGCAGGGACTCCAGTGTGATGTGTGCTAGAAGTGCTTATACCACTCAACTCTGGCCCAGGGAAGGGTGCATCTTGTGATCCATTGGTTGTTCTGATCTGGAGACCACAAGAAAAGGTCTCACTGCTGACCCTCAATATAGAGAAGGGAATGGAAGCTGTGGTGATTCCCAGGGAGAATATTCAAAGCCAGATAAAGGGAGAATTGAGTCTAGAATCTAGATATAAGATTTCAGGGGCAGATATAGGAAGAGGAGCCACTGAAGGGTCTGGAAAGCAACTGTTGAAGAATAGAAGGAAAAATGGAGAGCAGCCAGAAGCCAGGAGAGCAGTGAAAGTCAAGGAAGAGAAGCAGGTAAATCACATCTGATGCTGTGGTGAGAGACTGCACTGGCACTACTGAATTTGTCAGACAAGAGAAGGAGTGAGGAAAAATGATGGCGCAATAACCAATAATTAAATTAAGAAAGAGACTGGGTATGATGACTCATGCCTGTCATCTCAATACATTGGGAGGCCGAGGTGGGAAGACTGCTTGAGGCCAGGAGCTCTAGACCAGCCTGGGCAATGTAGAGAAACCCCATCTCTACAAAAATTAAAAAAAAAAAAAATTAGCCAGGCATGGTAATGTGCGCTTGTATTCTCAGCAACTCAGGAGGCTGAGGCAGGAGGATTGCTTGAGCCCAGGAGTTTGAGGCCACAGTGAGTTATTGTGCCAGTGCACTCCAGCCTGAGCAACACATATTAAGCATGCAAATTAAAAGAACAAGACCTTGGCCAGGTGTGGTGGCTCACGCCTGTAATCCCAGCACTTCTGGAGGCCGAGGTGAGCAGATCACGAGGTGAGGAGATCGAGACCATCCTGGCCAACATGGTGAAACCCTGTCTCTACTGAAAATTCAAAAATTAGCTGGGCATGGTGGTGCATGCTTTTAATCACAGCTACTTGGGAGGCTGAGGCAGGAGAATTGCTTGAACCAGGGAGGCAGAGGTTGCCGTGAGCCTAGATTGCGCCACTGCACTCTAGCCTGGTGACAGAGCGAGAGTCCATCTCAAAAAAAAGAACAAGACCTTGTCTCTAAAAAATAAAAATAAATTATAAATCAAGAAAGAAATTAAGACAAAGAGGAGATTAAAGTTTGGCTTATAAAGGAAGGGATGAGCTAGAGCAATTCCAGAAAGAGAGTCAAGAGGAAAAAGGAACAATTAACTCTTCCCCATCACATCTCTTCTCCCTATCCACTAACAGCAGAGTCAAACTAAGGAAGGATTTATTGAATAGGTAGGTGGTGGAGAAAATACAGAATGTTGTGGTGAGAGACTGCACTGGCACTGCTGGATCTGTCAAATAAGAGAAAGGATGGGGAGAAATGATGGAGCAATAGCCAATAATTAAATCAAGAAAGAGGCTGAGTATGATGGCTCATGCTTATAATCCCAACACATTGGGAGGCCGAGGTGTGAAGATTGCTTGAGGCCAGGAGCCCTAGAACATAGAGCTGGGCAACATAGAGAAACCCCATCTCTACCAAAAAAAAAAAAAAAAAAAATTAGCCAGCCATGGCGATGCATGCCTGTAGTCCCAACTATACTTGCTAAAGAGAAAAAGGGTGAGGACTAGTAGGAACAGAGCAATGGAATTTGAACCTAAGTGAGAGTCTGAATAACTGGTAGAGCAAAGCAGGAGGTGGGAAGGAATGGAGATGAGGATGGAGACAGATCAGTATTAGATGACAGGAGCAACACATCTTTGATTGATGTTGGAGGAGAGAAAGAAGCAAAGAGGCACCTATAGCTATTTGCAGGTGTGATGCCGGGACATCTCTCAATGGTCTCAATTTTCTATGAGAAGAGGAAGGCAAGAGTGTTAAGAGGTAAGGATGCTAAGAGATAAGTGCAAGTAAAATTGTTGAATAGCCACCTTGAAATGTGGGAGAAGATCCAGGGAGACCAAAAGATACTGCAGAACAGCAGGGGAGGCCCAATCAAAGGTGGTACAGTGGTTCTGGCCTGTGTGTGTCTGAACTTCCCTACGGTATCAGTGAAATATCCCAAGAGACCGTCAACTTTCCCTTAATTACACATTGACTAGAAAACTATTCCTAATTCAAACTTCAAAAATATGTCATTATTAGGAAGAACATGCTCTGACTGTCTGACAACCAGGGAATTCTGGTTCTGGAAGTGGTACTTATCTCATTGTAAAGAAAAAACTGGCATGTTGGGAAGGTTTCTAATGTAGCAGAATGAGCATAGGCTTTGGAGTCTGACTAATGTGGATGCAAATCTCACCTGCTGGGTGACCTTTGGTAAATAACTCACCACTCTCCGTCAGTGTGAACACAGGTAAATTACTCATCCTCTCTCTCTGAAGCTCACATTTCTCATGGTAGGACTGTCAAGAGGTTAAATGAAGTAACTTACATAAAGCTTAGCACTCACTAAATACTTAGTCTTGATCTGATCCCCTATCCCCATTCATCCTATGAGATTGGCTATCTCAGCGAGCCCTAAGAGACTGGCACACTCTGAGTGCCTGGGTAAAACCAGGCTTGCAAAGGAGAAAACCACCGGATCCTGGGCTGTGTCAATTCATCAGGCCATAGCCAATCTATAAGGTTTTATCTATGCAGCCTCCTTAAACCTTTATCTCTACCTGTGCTTTAATTTATTTTTATGTTAAAGACATCCTTAAAGACTATATTATTCTTGATAATTTTTATTATATGCAGAACTTCTTCTGGCGTTTTCTCATAAATATTCTCAAACTGGGGTGGGGTAGGGGGGCGGTGAGTGTTTCACTTTGTGTCTTGTTCTTCCTGCTGATCTATAAATTCACAGTGAAGTATGAGGATGGGGCAGAGGCAGTTTGTCCTCTGTATCTGGGTCAGTGCTCCTTGGTAGATGGTCCAGGTCCTAATCCTGCCATTATAATCCTCTTATTCCACTACACAATTATCAGAAGGAGTGGAAAGTTCTGTGGAAAAAAATTTGATGGTGAAAGAATGTTAAAATTAGCTTTAAATTCCAAGGAACATAAATAAAGAACAAGAGGTGACCTAGAATATCATAAAGATCAAAAAGGAGTTTTGAGGGCTTTGGGATATGTCTTATTCATCTCTAGCTCAAGGCCTGGTGTGAGTGAGTCTAGTATAAGGGGAAGGAAGGAGAACTGACCATCACTAAATATGTACTCTGTGCTTGATCCGTGCGGTACTTCTTATATACATTTTTTCATTTATGCCTCCCAACGAGCCATTAGTTAGGAAATAACATCTCCATTTTTCACATGAACCTGCAGTTGAGAAATTAAATAACTTGATGTTCCCAGAAAGTCAGGTATAATGCTGACATTTGAACTCAGACCTTTACACTACAAAGTTCATAATGTTATTCCACTGTATTATTTTGCCTATTCTGAATACATCTCTATTTACAGAGCTAACAATTGTTATATTCTGTGGGCTGATGTGTGCAATATAAAACCCAGTTTACAATTTAAATAAAGGCAGAAGAATTTGTATCAAATAATTTGATATGCAACAGTTATATTTCAGTAGGTGCTCAAATTTATATATATGATTTTCTACTGCTTTGATCTCAGGTAAATACAAATTTCTTGACTTAATATGTTTATTATTGAATAACACAAATAATAGATGAGTTGAAAAGTGATTCATAGCTTAATTATAAGTAAACTCAACCATCCTAGATCTGCACAAACTAAGGCCTTTAATATGATGCTGATAGTAAATATGTAAAGCATATAGTTGATCCTAGAATCTGTCTTCCAAATTTTGAGTGTTGGACTCTTAAGAGAGTGTCTATATTATGTAAAACTGATGCATAATAAAATACAATTCTCAGCTCTGTCTCTTTCACTGTATTTCACTAAGTGAATTTTAGAGTTTTCCCAAGTTAATCTCATCTAAATTGTTTCTTGTAGTGTGTTGGGTTAGTTCAACTGGCATCCATCCATCCATCCATTTACTCATGCAGCAAATCTATAATAAGATTCTTCTATATGCAATACAGATTTGTGGGCCAGTCATAGACATAGTGCTTGCTAACAGAGTCTCTCTCGTATCAGAGAAGACTGACAATTAAGGAAGGTTTGATCACTACAAACCATAATTTCCTAAGGTGACTTTCCTTCCTGTTTAATGATAAACAAGTTCTTTTGTATCACCCATTTCTCTGTGGCCTCTCTGCATAGAATTATGCATAGAATGTATGCATGATGCATAGAAGTATTTTGGTTATCTTTATGGTACTGTACTGGGGTTACATGTTGTTAGATGCCATTAACAAGGATGTTGCCTTTGCAAGAGGGACTGTATAAGGTCAAGAGTTACGACTCCTATGGGAAAAGAAGTAGAAAGTGGAAAGCTCACAGGAACGTGCCGCCGCAGGTTTGTTGGTGTGCCTGATGGAGAGGAGCTGGTGCTGAGGGCATTTTCTATGTCCTGATCAAGCTGGTCCAGTTTCATAATCAGCAGCACCATGGAGTCCAGCCGCGCCCTATCTCGATCTTCTCTTATTTCCTGAGGAACAGAACATTTTGTTACTGAATCTGAAAGGCCATTTCTTAATAAGAATAAAAAGTTCCCTGTTCTTCAATGTGACAAAAAGTACACTGGATAATAGGCAGTCTTTAATTAGAAGAGAAGTTCCATTCTGTATCATCAATGGGCTCTTCATTGGGAAGACACTGACCTAGTGCCAAGAAAGCATTTTACATGAATATTAAATATATATCTTGTAAAGCAAAGTGCAATGAAAAAAGAAGTATAACACCTATGAGTAATGGCATGTATTTACTATTTTCCCACTACCTATTTTTGGGAAAGGTTATATATTTTTCTTCTTTTTTCAGAGTACAAATTGATTATTTAAAAGGTACTAATAATTATTTGTGGCTAGACATTTAGGGATGCATATGAGATTATATTTTTGGAAGACTCTTTTGCAGTATAGTAAAAACACTGGAAAAGAACTAAGCGAGGCAAGTTTTCAGTTTGTGCAGGGGAACAGTTTTCCTAGCACAGGGCCATTTAGCCACTGCTACTTAAAGATATATCCTTACTAAAATCTCTTCTCTTGAGTTTCTTTTATTTTACACACTTATAAAACAGCTCCCACAACAATTTGTATTTTTGTAAATGAGTATGGTTACTTATTCTCAGTTCTCTGTACTACAGACATATGTTGATAGAAATATTTTTAATCATAGGAGTAGCTAAAGCTTCTCATAGAGCATATAGAGTTACTTGGGCATGACTCAACCATTCTGGTGTGTTTAAGTCAAGTCAATTAGTTCTAGGAATCTTCCAGATTCCCTGTGTTGTACAAGGTATTAGGATGGGGTACGGTATTGGCTAAAAAAAAATACTGTAGAAAGCACAGTTAGGTTCTTCAAAAGCAACATCTACAGAGAAATGTCGCACATGCAGTGTTGGCTCTTTTGAGGCAAGTCATCATTTGTGACTTATGTTGCCATCCTCTCCATCTGTCTGATTGTATTGATCTGGGTGAAATCAGCTTTAAAAGGACCACCAGTGGCTGATGTCAGTGGAAAAATACATCTTGACAGAAGCCTGAGGGCTATCAGTACAGTGATTGCAGATTGAGGGTTCACTTTGGTGATGGTTCGTTGTGAGATGAAAATTGATGATGGCCTGAATCACAACTTCATTTTTTTAATTTTTTGCCATTTATTTTAATCCTTCTAAATTCCCCCAGCCACCATTAAAAGGCACCCCCAAAGAACAGGGTCTAGGATAATTTTGTGGGTTAATCTAATTTTATAGAACTCTGTATATCTTAAACAGCAAGAGCAGATTGTTAATATTACACAGGTATTATCTTTCACATGTCGGATAATTGGTTAATCAGATTAAATTTTTCAGACAATCAATTAAGCTAACATTGGATATGTTACTTAAGTAAACCGAACTTGTGCATGGTTTAACAGATTAATGCAAATTGAAACAGCTAGCCCTGTTTTCACAAAGACAGATTAATTTTGAGAATACGTTAAGAATTTTTTGAGGTATGCTAATTCCTTCAGAATACTATGCTGTTGTTATTACTTCAGTCTCCTCCTATTGTCCCTGCTGTTTGAAACAAGACTGTGACAGAAAACTACATTTTTTTGTCATCATAAACTATTCTTATAAAGGGGTCCATGATATTTGCAAACAGACCTGATCTTTTCCATGTATCTTATCCCTCACTGCTACAGAGCTTTGTTACATTCAAAGAAGTGTTATTGATAGTATGATTGTGCTTATAACTTATTTAGGTTAATTCCCTTCTGAATATTCCAGATAATGGAACAATCTGATTAAATAGTAATTAAATCCCAGTAATCACTCTTCCCATGGGCTTCATTATATAATTTCTTTTTCTTTTAAACCAAAGTTGTGTTTGGCAACTTAAAGGTTGCTATAAAGTGGTAAGTTTCATTCTTTGTGTAACGGAGGCCTCTGTCAAGATATAAGCAAAGGAGTGGTTTAGTACATTTTATAAACTTTTGGATTTCTTTCTTTCTCCCTTCCTTCCTTTTTTCCCTTTTTGCAACAAGGTCTCACTCTGTTGCCCAGGCTGTAGTGCAGTGCAGTGGCACGATGTTGGCTCGCTGCAGCCTGGATCTCTCGGGATCCAAGTGATCCTTCTATCTCAGCCTCCCAAGTAGCTGGTACTATAGGCATGTACCACCAGGTCTGGCTGTTTTTTTTTTTTTTTTTTTTTTGGTATTTTTTGTAGAGACAGAATTTTGCCATGTTGCCCAGGCTGGTCTCAAACTCCTGCACTCAGGAGATACTCTCGTCTCGGCTTCCCAAAGTGCTGGGATTACAGGTTTCTTAATGCATATTGTGAATCAAACATTTTTGAAATCTTACAATACTTTCCATCCAGTAATGCCCCATGACTAATGCATGCTCTTTATCCTAAGGTTATTTTTTCTAGTTTTGGTCTTGTTATGCTGAAGTCTAAATTGAACACATATTCAGTGATTGTAAAGAAATACAAGGTTATTTTATTACAAGACCTCATACATTTTAAGATCAAAGTGGAATAGGAAAAGGCACTGTTTGGGGAGCATATTTCTTAGGAGCAGGAAATGGGTGGGCTATGGTATGTTGGTAAGTGTTTAGCAACTGAATCTCCAAATAGAATGAAAGTCCTTATTTGTAGCATTTGTGGATTTCCGTGGTGTAAATACTCCCCTGACCCATTTCAAGCTGCCAAGAAGATGTTACTGACTGCAGGGTTGGAAGAAATGTGCATAATTGGCCCGTTCGAGCTGGTGTGAACCAGTGTCAGCTGGCATATGGTGACTCCGAAACACACTGGGGTAGGGGGCCAGAAGGATAGAGAATTCGTCTTAGAATTTGACTTGAATAGAAACATTGATAGTTACATATATAGTTATAATTATGGTTTAGTCAACATAATAACATACTAAAATAACACATTTTATTTTTTAAATACATTTATTTTCCTTAATATTGGAAGGAATTCCCTGGGCAACAGGGATTAACATTACTAAGGAATTACCTGAGCAACAAGGAATTTACCTTGTTGCCCAGGTAAATTTTAGTATGAATTGTAGATGTCAAGTTTGTGTACTTCTGGGCCAGGCATGGTGGCTCACGCCTATAATCCTAGCATTTTGGGAGGCAGAGGTGGGTGAATCACTTGAGGTGAGGAGTTGGAAACCAGCCTGGCCAACATGGTGAAACCCCATCTCTGCTAAAAATATATTTTTTTAAAAAATAGACAGGCATGGTACTGGGCACCTGTAATCCTAGCTACTTGGGAGTCCTGAGGCAAGAGAGTCGCTTGAACCTGGGAGGCAGAGGCAGCAGTGAGCCAAGATCGTGCCATTGTACTCCAGCATGGGCAATGAGAGTGAAACTCCATCTCAGATAAATAAATAAATAAATTTTGTGTACTTCTGGAGGATTTTTTTTTTTTAGTAGTGGTTCCTTTTGCTCTCGTCCTTGCTCTATTTATTATTTATGTTTGTAAACTTCTTTAAAATTTATTATAATTAACATATTTTTTATTTCAACTTTCAGACTCAGAACTGCATGTGCAGGCTTGTTACATGGGTATGTTGTGTGATGCTGAGGTCTGGGGTATGACTGATCCTGTCACCCAGGTAGTGAGCATAATACCTAAGAGGTAGTTTTTCAACCCTTGCCTCCCTCCCTCCTTCTCCCCTCTGTGGTCCTCAGTGACTATTGTTCCCATCTTTATGTCTTTGAGTGCCCAACAATTAACATATTTTTATATTGACATTTATACTTAAGTCAAAACACAATTCTTTAAGTTACTGATATGTCATTTGGACACTTCACTCAACACCAAATAATTCGGAAATATAAAAGTTCAAGGTTCCAGTGCCTTGATTTTACAGATGAGAAAACTGAACTCCAGGGAGTTTTTAAAATCCACTGGTAAAGTCGAGACTAGAGCCTGGCTCTTCCCACTCCCCTTCCTGTTAGCTTTCGAGTTCTACATGTTGGTTTCCCTCCATGTTAAACATTTTAAATTTTATGCCCACTTGGGTATCATGAATTCTCTCCTCAACTTCTGCATCCTGGTTTTTCTTCCTGTCAATATACAGAAACTGTGTTTTGAAAGACCATCAATTACTACAACATTAATTGCAAGAAACCTGTGAAGTCGTCTTGCCCTCTTTTCTTCTCTTTTTTTCTCTTTTCTCATTCCTTCCTTTCTTCCTTCCCTCCCTCCCTCCCTTTCTGTCTTTCTCTCTTTTCTTTTCTTTTTTCTTTTCTTTTCTTTCTTTCTTTTTCTTTCTTTCTTTTCTTTTCTTTCTTTCTTTCTTTCTTTCTTTCTTTCTTTCTTTCTTTCTTTCTTTCTTTCATCTCTCTCTCTCTCTCTCTTTCTTTATTCTTCTTCTTTTTTTTTTTTTGGGAGATGGAGTCCAGCTCTGTCTCCCAGGCTGGAGTGCAGTGGCACAATCTTGGCTCACTGCAACCTCTGCCTCCCAGGTTCAAGCGATTCTCCTGCCTCAGCCTCCCGAGTAGCTGGGATTATACGCGCCTGCCACCATCCCCAGCTAATTTTTGTGTTTTTTTTTTTTTTTTTCAGTGGAGACAGGGTTTCACTGTGTTGGCCAGGCTGGTCTTGAACTCCTGACCTCGTGATCCGCCCACCTCAGCCTCCTGAAGTGCTGGGATTACAAGTGTGAGCCACTGCGCCTGACCTTGCCCAGTTCTTTAAACTTTTATTTAGCAATCATTTAAGGTATGTTTATTGACCACTATGTGCTGTACACTGTTTCAGAGGAAGCAACCTATTTCATATTTGTGCAGCTATAAATTTTAAAAAAGTTTATAGTGTCAAATTCTGCCTTACTCTAACTTCTCAGCTTGTCCCACAAGAAACAGACAGAAATAGCAGTGTCTTTATTCCATGAAACAGCCTTTCAAATATTTCAAGAATGATGTGGTGCCCATGTTCTTTCATTTTTGGGTGAATCATCCTCAGTTCCTTTAATTATTTCTCATATGACATGTTTTCAAATCCTCGGTAATTATGTTTACTCTTCTCTGGATATGATATAATTCTGTCAATGACTCAATTAACTGTTGGTGCCCAGAATTAAATATATTACTCTATGTGTTCTCTGACTGGGGCAGACTAGGCAAGTGCTTCTGTGTTCTATATACCCTCTTTAAAGCAGACTAAGAATTTAGTGCCTGTTTAGAACATGAACAGGCTATTCTTAATGGAATAGCCACAGTCTGCTTTTTTAATGAGGAAAAAGTATTTAGCTGACTGTGAGCTGAACTTGAGTCAATGCTGTGATGTATGTCTCTTTTTCCCATTATGTGTCTGTGTAGTGCTAAGAACAGAAACATCCTGTTGCTTTGGGACTGCAACCAGCTGCTGTCAAAGTTTAGATAATATATGTAGCTGCTGTGGAAGAAATTTCCACTTGTGTCTCTTTCAGACATAGGTCAATAGATACGAGGCAAATTAGGAGAGAAATTTCAATTCAATTTGATTTACTGTCAGAAACCTAAGATGTCCAAGCCCATGGTGGTAAACTGGAAATCTGAAAGAAGTTCCTAATTTACTTGGAAGAGCTATTTAGTTCCTGGGCAGTGAAGCCTCTTTGATTGCAGTGGTATCTGGGGAAGATGAATAGGGTTTTTAGAGAATCATTCTTTCCTAAAAGTGTCAGATTCTGTGAGGCTTAAACAACAGGAGTCTCCTCTCTGCTTCTTTCCTTCCATCTGGGAAAGATAATCCCAACACCCCTCTTTCTACAAATGCTCTTAACTGAACAGCACAAACACAGCACACACACAAGGCAGTTGGGGAGGAGGTGCAAATTACTGGATATTTTGCAGACTGGAGAAATATAAAGTCCAGAAAAGAGTGTGCCTCTTCTAGAGAGACACAGGCTCTGTTTTCCTAATGCCAGCATTTGGAAGAGAACCAAAAAGTTTAGTAAAATACCCAGATGCTTCCAAATAGTGGACGATTGGTTTGGCATATATAGCATTGCTTGAACGCTTTGCTTGTCAATGAACGGTGGCATCACATAGTCATGATAAATTAAATGCTAAACCGGGAATAGAACTGAAACTTCCTGACACAAGGTTCTGGCCCCTATGCTGTCTTCAATTCCATATGTGTGTTACTGGTTATTCTGGACTGCTAATACTCCTCACTCACCCGTGAAAGAAAGGGACCTTTTAGCAAAAGACTTGGCTCAGTTTCATCCTGAAGTATTTGATCTTTGGCCAGCTGGACTAGTGTAAAAATCTCATATTAGCATTATATGTTTCATTTGACAATAAATTTCTCATTCTAGACTTTCCTTTCTTAAAATAATATCCTGTTTTAAAAACCAGAATGTTATTAAATCTCTTTTTTTAGAGCAGTGAAGATTTTCATGTAAATTGACAGTAAGAAGCTAACGATAATGTAATTATCCTAAGTCAGAATTTCTAGGCAAGTTAAATAAGTCAGTCTTAATTTTTATTCCACTGTGTTTCAATTTGAAACTTATGTAGACTAGCAGGAAAGAAAACAACAACTATTTCCTGTTTGCTAGATATATTCCGTTCAACTCCAAGTTCTAGGCATATTATCTTTTATTAATAATATGTGCCACTATGACTATAATATTAGGTCATGATGATGGATAGATAATATTGTTATTTAAAGTTGCAACAAGCAATCTTTTAACTGACATGTAATCATTAATTAGCGATCATGGCTTTATATTATCTGTTTAAATTTATCTGCTATTAATCTGCTTCTACTTATTAAGACATGTTGAAGAAAATTGGTTTCTCTTTTGCTAGGTTTTTAAACTCCAACTAGGCTTCAAACGGAGCACTGATTAGCCAGAACTTTTGTAACTTCCATACACAGTTTCCTGAGTAGTTTCAAAGGATATTGATACAGCTCGTCCTGAGAAGTGTTCAGAAGTGCAGGTGTGAACCGGCGGGGAGAACTGAGGCCCATTTTGGGGACTGGGATATAATTTCTACCTAAATCATTTCGTAAGTATGCTGGAACCAGTCTTCATTTTAAGTGCTAAAATTAAAGATTGGCACTCAGGTCACTAAATACATTATAGAATATAGGATCAGTCCTGCTGAGCTGATATGTATTCCATACTATCATGCTTATGTGGTATCTGCCAATTCCTGTGACTCTTTTTTATTTTTATTTTTTACAATACTTAGTAACTCTTTGCTTTGGCTCAGGTCTTAAAGCAGACAAGACTTTTCTTGGTTTGAAAACATAAGAAAAATATCTATTTAACACTGAAATTCCATAAATTGTTTTTAGGAATATTATGATGATCCTTCCTTTGCCATGAACAACAAAAAAAGACATAAGTAAACATGTATTCCTTTTTCATAAAAATGTACCCCTTATTTTTTTTTTAAAGTCTTGTATTGACCTGACTTCTGTCTACTTTTCTACCGGCACTGTTGTAACTCTCTGATTCAGCCCACTGGCCTCCGAATGTCAATCATCCTGAGTCCAACAACTATATTTTCCTTAATATTTGTAGTTATTATTTTTACCACTGTATCTTCCTTAATATTTTATAGCTGCATTTTAAATATTGTATATACATGGTATATAATACATAAATAATCTGATATATTTCTAACACATATTAAACTACAAAATTATCAAAATAAAGATTCTTTATGCTATCTGATATACTCTCAATTAAGCCATACTATGTTTTAGGAAATGCTTTACTACAAGTAGAGAGCTTGTTTTGGTCTCTCAAATATGTCATCCTCTCCCTCATTTGCAATTTGAATTTGCAGATTTAGCAAATAAAACGATAGGATGTCTAGTTATATTTGAATTTCAGATAAAAAATAATAAGTTTTTAGTGGAAGTAGTTCCAAATATTGTATAAGACAATATTGCATTGGACCTACTGTGGCTAAACATTTTTATCTGAAATTAAAGTGTAACTGGGTATTTTATGTCTTATCTGGCAACTGTGTTTTCATTCATGTAATAACTTTCTTTTGGCTTAACCCACTTCTTGCTGGGTATATCAGACGAAACCCTTGGCTTCAAGAGCAATGTGACTCCAATAGAGGGGTCTCTCAAAGGCTTGTTTCTTTGAATGAATAAATAGTATTTGTCTCTTTATGTTTAATTTTACAGCTTCAGTGAGTAGTAGTTTTCAATAGCGGCAGATTGTCAGTATACTTGTATAGCTTTGGACACTTCTACGTGCTAAGGTTCATGTAGAATTTGGTACATGATTTAGTAGGCCTACGGGGAGGCTAAGCTATGTGTTTTTAAAAAGTTCCATGGATGTATTCATAGCACAGCTAGGTTTGAGGAACATTTTAGTAGATTGCAGAGAAAACCGTTACATGGTTTCTGATGAAAATTAGGGTGACAGGAATTAGAGTCTCACCTAGGGTAATTCCACAATAAGAATGTCATTAATCTCCTATATTAACAGATTTAAGAAAAAAATACGACAAGTAAATATCAAAAAGGGCATTTATAACATTTCAAACTGATTTGAAATGTTTTGCTAGTGATTACAAACAACAAAATAAATTAAAATTAAAAAAACCTCTTTTAAGTGGCAAGGACTTAGAAGGCAATGCTCTTCACCTGATTATGAGTCTAAGACACTTAAAGCAAGCATTGAGGATAATGAGGAAACACTGGAAATATTTCTATAAAACTAGGAAAAAGTAAGAATGCTTGTTATCACATATTCTACTCAACATTACACTTGAGGTTCTGCCCAATGCAACAGAAACAACAACAACAAAACAGAGATGATTATATTACAAAGGAAGAAAATGTGTACCTCAAAAATCCAAGAGAATAATACGAAAATCTGATAATTTCAACAAATCAAAGAATTTGGCTTAACAAAGAAAAACGCAAGACCACTCTTGTCCTCTCCCGTTAATCATTTAAAAAATGGAATAGGAGGAAAAACCCCTCATATCACAGTGGCAAAAAAGACTATAAAATACCTAGAAGTAACTAAAAAAAGAAATGAGCAAGACCATTATAAAAAAAAAACAAAAATGTCACCAAAGAATGTAAAAGACTGAATAAATGGAAAGATATATACTTGCTCTGGAGAGGAAAGTTCCAACATACTGTACAACTAATTTGTTATGTGTACTCTCTGTTTCCCCACTAGATCGTCAGCCCCACAAGGGTAATCACGGTTTGTTTTGTTCACTGATGCAAACCAAGAATCTGCAGCAGAGGCGCATAATCATCACACAATAAATGCTTGTTGAATGAAAGAATGAATGAAATATTCTGTTTGAATTAATTTAAAAACTCAAAGGAGCCTAAATGAAACCCTCATGGGTTTTATGGGTTTTTAAAAAATGAACCCACCTGCAGAGCTGATTCTTGGAAAACGAAAATGAAGACCAAGAAACATATTATCCAGCAGTCATACCTGTTGGTATTTTTATTCAAATGAGTTGAAAATGTATGTCCCCATAAACACCTGCATACAGATGTTTATAGCAACTTTATTCATACTTGCTGAAGGTTGAACTAACCAAGATACCCTTCAGTAGGTGAATGGATAAACAGTGGTACATTTAGACAAAAAACATTATTCAGCACTAAAAACAAATGAGCTATCACACCATGGAAAGATATGGAGGAAATTTAAATGCATATTACTAAGTGAAAGAAGTCAGTCTGACGAGCTATCTACTGAATAATTCCAATTATATGATATTCTGGAGAGGCAAAACTATGGAGAGGGTAAGAAGGCTACCAAGAAGGAAGGGATGAAAATCCAGACCATAGAGGAGTTTTAGGGCAGTGAAACTATTCTGAATGATTATATATTATTAGACACCTGTCATTATACATTTATCCAAACCCATAGAATGTACAACACCAATAGTAGACACTGATGTAAACTATGAACTTTGAGTGATACTGACATGTCATTGTAGAGTCATTGATTGTTACAAATGTACTACTTTGGTGCTGGATGTTGATGGTGGCTATTGGCAGAGGGCATATAAAACATTCTGTACCTTCCACTCAATTTTGCTGGAAACCTAAAACTGCTTTTTAAAAAGTCCATTAAAAATATGAAACAAAATAAAGAAAATGGAAAGAGACTAGAAAATTTTTAGTGTGGATATCTTTAAATACACACAAAATACAGAAAAATAATAAATTTTGATTTATCTGTCAGATTAAAAATGACCAATATTTTGCTCATTTATCCCTCTTCACATTTTTTTTAGTGTTTTAGGTAAATCCCAGAGACCATATAATTTCATCCACAAATGCTTAGGTAAAAGTTGATTTTAAATTTCATCTGCAAGAGAAAAGGAGTCAAAATTGTAAAATCTTTTTTAAAAATCCAAATGTTCTATGAAACAGCACACTGTATAAAGTGTCCACAAAGAAAAGATTGATAAATGTTAAAATACAATTATAGACTGGGAGAAAATATTTAGATCATATGTACGACAATGAATGAAGCAGTTATAAAAAGACAACCTAATAAAATTGGTCAAAGCATATAAAGAGTCTATTAATAGAAGAATTCCTAATGATTTAAAACCCCAAAGCATCACTGGTAATTAAAACAATACTAATTAATTATGAATGAGAATTAATATTTTTTTCATAAAAAAGAAATCATGACCACACTCAAGTTTGACAATATTTTGGAAATAGAATTTTTTTCCCCTTTGGAGAGTAGCTTGGGAGTCTCTATCGAAATTTAAAGTAGAACACATTCTTCAACCTGGTAATTTAATTTTAGATACCTATCTTAGAAAATTACTTGCACGCATGCAAAGACAGTATAATCAATACTGTCTTCGTTGTGGCATTTTTTGCTAGTAGCCAAAGAACTGGAAATAACTTACTATCAATAGAAAATTTTAACTTAATGAGTTATGGCACCATCATTTCTTGGATCACAATGCAGTAGTTGCATACGATGACGCAGATTCACATGCACTGACAGGGCCATGAGTAACCTACGTAATGCTTCAGTGCAAGTTAGAAAAATGTCCCTTTGTGCGGTGGCTCACACCTGTAATCCCAGCACTTTGGGAGGCCGAGGTGGGCGAATCACGAGGTCAGGAGATAGAGACCTCCTGGCTAACACGGTGAAACCCCGTCTGTACTAAAAATACAAAAAATTAGCCGGGTGTGGTGGTGGGAGCCTGTAGTCCCAGCTACTAGGGAGGCTGAGGCAGGAGAATGGCGTGAACCCAGGAGGCGGAGCTTGCAGTAAGCTGAGATCGTGCCACTGCACTCCAGTCTGGGCGACAGAGCGAGACTCCATCTCAAAAAAAAAAAAAAAAAAAAAAATGCCGGTTTGAATGGATGCACCCATGTGCTAGGGTTCATGTTTAATGAGCAAAACACAGGTTGCCTATCAGCCCCCACTCAGCACTTTAGTCTGGTGTCCTTGTGCGGGGCATAACCTGCCCAACAGTACTTGGGACCCTGCTACTGATAAGGAAAGTGTTCTATAGAGAGTTTGCTAAGTAGGGAAAGAAAGGTAAAGAACACTACACGAAGCTTTTCCAACCCGCAGCCCAGGACAGCTTTGAATATGGCCCAACACAAATTCGTAAACTTTCTTAAAACATTATGAGATTTTTTTGCGATTTTTTTTTTTTTTTTTTTTTAGCTCATCAACTATCGTTAGTGTTAGTGTATTTTATGTGTGGCCCAAGATAATTCTTCTTCTTCCAATGTGGCCCGGGGAAGCCAAAAGATTGAACACCCCTGCTGTACAGCATAAAATCCTTAATATATTTCTCTCTCTCTCTCCTACACACACACATACACGAGCACACATACAGACACATCCAATGCAAAATTATTTCTCTGTGTGTGTGTGTGCACACATATATATATATATACACGTATATGCACAAAATAAATCTGGAAGGATATCTGATATGGTTTGGCTTTGTGCCCCACCCAAATCTCATCTCCCCAGGTGTTGAGGGAGGGACCTGTTGGGAGGTAATTGGATCATGGAGGAGGTTCCCCCATGCTGTTCTCATGATAGTGCTTGACTTCTCACACGATCTGATGGTTTTAAACGTGGTGTTTTCCCCTGCTCTATTGCTGTCTCCTGCCACCTAGTAAAGAAGGTACTTGCTTCTCCTTAGCCTTCCACCATGATCATAAATTTCCTGAGGCCTCCCAGCCATGCGGAACTCTGAGTCAGTTAAAGCCCCTTTCTTTATAAATTACGCAGTCTCAAGTAGTATCTGTATAGCAATGTGAGAACAGACTAATACAACATTCATCCTTGGGAGCTGAATGTGGAACTGGGAGAGGGGCAAAGAAACCTACATGTTACAGTTTGAAATTACTCCAACAAGTACATGATGGTGAATTATATCAGTGATATAAAAATAAACGCTTATTGAAAACAAAAACACAAAAAAATTACAGTCTGTAAAAAGCTGACACCACAAACACGAAAAAGCTCCCCAGGAATTTTATTCCTTAACTGCATAACATACTTTATAATATATTTTTCATATACTATCTTTTTACCTTTGTTGAATTATGAGGAATTAAAAATTTTTTGGTACATTCATATATTGACATATGCTGAAGCCTTTAACATAATGACTGAGTATCCTTATTATTGGTATGAAAAGATGCCCATATATTCAATAAATGTGGTTACTAAAGTATACCTAAGATAATCTCCATCTTTATGTGTATAGACAATTTATCTTTGCCAGTACAACTAATGCACAGCTAATTTTGTTGAGAACTTGGTGATGATCTCCTTTTGTGACCATCACTCTCAATATGTTGAATCCTGGCTTGACCAATTTAATGTGTGATCTGTTCTTCCTATGACTCATCGGGATTGCAGTTTTCTTCTCATAGATTGCACAAATTCCTGAATATTTGCACTGTTTCTTTTAGCTCAAAGATAGAAAAGAATAGCATTATGACCTTGGCTTTCTACCATAAACCCAAACTGACATTTTCTAAGAAGTGACATAATGGGACTCTATATGGAAAAGATAAGATTCAAAGAGACTTCGTAAGTGAGCACATAAAATATAGTTAGAAGATTTTGCAGATGTGAGTTAAAGCAAACATTCAGTGAATTAGCTTATACAATACATGCAATAAACTAAGAAAAATATCCTTATTTGACACGATGTTATCATTTTTTTTGAGGTTTTTGAGGCTGGGGGGCAGGGACAGAGTCTTGTTCTGTCACCCAGGCTGGAGTGCAATGGCTCAATCTCGGCCCACTGCAACCTCCACCTCCCAGGTTCAAGCGATATTCCTGCCTCAGCCTCCTGAGTAGCTGGGATTACAGGCGTGCGCCACCATGCCTGGCTAATTTTTTTGTTATTTATAGTAGAGACATGGTTTCACCATGTTGGTCAGGCTGGTCTCGAACTCCTGACCTTGTGATTTGCCCACCTTGGCCTCCTAAAATGCTGGGATTATGGGCGTGAGCCACTGCGCCTGGCCCACGATGTTATTTTTTTTTAAGTCAGTGGCAACTAGTGCCATACAATGTGATTTGATGTAATTTAAAACACTTTAGTGATTTTATTTAGTGATTTAAGTGATTTACTAGTATTTAAATAAATTAAATAAATCACTATTTGCTAGTGATTTAAGTAAATACATTTTGAAATTTAAAAATATTATTAGTCACTTGTTGTGAAAAACTGTTTCTTTAAGCATAAGCATATAAGGATATGTTTAATTTTCCCCTTCATCTTCTCAGTGATGTTTAAACAGGGTAAAATATTTAATTTTTTTTTTTTTTTTGAGACAGAATCTTGCTCTTTCACCCAGGCTGGAGTGTAGTAGCGCGACCATGGCTCACTGCAAGCTCCACCTCCTGGGTTCATGCCATTCTCCTACCTCAGCCTACCTAGTAGCAGGGAGTACAGGCTCCCGCCACCACACCCGGCTAGTTTTTTGTAGTTTTAGTAGAGATGGGGTTTCACCGTATTAGCCAGGATGGTCTCGATCACCTGACCTCATGATCTGCCTGCCTTGGCCTCTCAAAGTGCTGGGATTACAGGCATGAGCCACTGCAACCGGCTGATTTAATTTTTATCTTATTATTATTTCTTTTTTACCATTAAGAGCCTTTAAATAACTTGAAGAAGAAGTGCTGGATAGTATGTTCATGATTTTTTTTCTCTACATATACACAAACTGATAAATATGGAACTATTGAATGTATACAGGTATAAAGAATATTTCTGAAAAGTAGCATTATGTAATTTCACCCCAAGAAGTCCAACTGATGTTCTTGTATGTCTTCTCGAAATTTCTCCTGGGAAGTTTCAAACAACTATGCCAAAGTTAGGATACAGCTTGGGAGTGGCACACCCTAAAATAAGTTTCTTATTTGTGAAAAGGAAAAAAGCCTTTCAGGATGCTTTCTACCTAGACACTGCTCAGCTGAGGGTCATTTCTTTTTGACTGTTCACATGTTCAGTGACAGGTGTACCCATGTACCCTGATGCTGGCGTCTAGGGGTCCCATGTTATTCTTCTCTGGACTTATCACTTTGGTCCTGTTTCACTGTCTTTCTACATCCTAAGTTTCATGTGTATAAAATTTGCTCATAGAACTTGTTACATATGCAAATATCACTCTATAGCAATTTAAAAAATTGGCCTTGAGTTAAAAGTATCACCAATGAAAACAATCTCCATAACCTAATACTGAAAACAAAAGGAAGTTGCAAAATGATGAATACCATGTGATGTGATTTGATATAAAATTCAAAAAACATATAAAACATGCATATAAAAGATATATATACAAAACATATAAAAGATATATATTTTATTGAGTGCAGACATACAAAATATGGCCACTTTGGATGATTCAGGATGGTGGTTACCTATGAACTTAAGGAGGGAAGTGGAAGCAGAGAGATTCCCACCTATTCTGCACCATCTCTGAAATGTTTCATTTCAGAATCAAATAGAAATAAAACAGACCAAAATAGTATAAACAAAATCTCTAACAAATAGGAAAATGTTCAGATTCATAAACCCAGGTGGTGGGTACATAGGGTTTTGTCATCTTATACTTTGTATATTCTAGTATAGTGAATACCTGATTAGAACAATTAATTACTTAAATGTAGATTCCTGGCTTACACTTGAGAGATTCTGGTTTGACATTTTTTGGCTGGGGCCTGGGAACCTGCCCTTTGTAAATGCCCCAGGTGATTTTGATAAAGGAACTCCATGAAAAACATAGTGAGAAAAAACTTTTTTTTTTCACTACCTCTATCCCTCCTTTATGCCCTCACATATTAAAATCTGTTATGTGCCTTTGTTAAAGTACTCGTATTGTGCTGGTAAGGAATATGATTGATTTCAAATCAGTAAATAAGTCCGAGGATTTCTTGAGAGCAGTCGGGCTAGTTAAAATGACTGATCAGTAAACAACAGAAATGTGTCAACAATTATTTCTAATCAGATGACTTTAAATAGATCAAGCTGTACTAGACTAAAGCAACACGATGGGATTTTTAGGAAGAGAAAAATGAGGGAACAAACTGATGGGCACCTATGAGTACCTACTTTTCTTTATTATTATTATTATTATACTTTAAGTTTTAGGATACATGTGCACAATGTGCAGGTTAGTTACATATGTATACATGTGCCATGCTGGTGTGCTGCACCCATTAACTCGTCATTTAGCATTAGGTATATCTCCTAATGCTATCCCTCCCACCTCCCCCCACCCAACAACAGTCCCCAGAGTGTGATGTTCCCCTTCCTGTGTCCATGTGTTCTCACTGTTCAATTCCCATCTATGAGTGAGAATATGTGGTGTTTGGTTTTTTTGTCCTTGCTATAGTTTACTGAGAATGATGATTTCCAATTTCATCCATGTCCCTACAAAGGACATGAACTCATCCTTTTTTATGGCTGCATAGTATTCCATGGTGTATATGTGCCACATTTTCTTAATCCAGTCTATGATTGTTGGACATTTGTGTTGGTTCCAAGTCTTTGCTATTGTGAATAGTGCCGCAATAAACATACGTCTGCATGTGTCTTTATAGCAGCATGATTTCTAGTCCTTTGGGTTCATACCCAGTAATGGGATGGCTGGGTCAAATGGTATTTCTAGTTCTAGATCCCTGAGGAATCGCCACACTGACTTCCACAATGGTTGAACTAGTTTACAGTCCCACCAACAGTGTAAAAGTGTTCCTATTTCTCCACATCCTCTCCAGCACCTGTTGTTTCCTGACTTTTTAATGATTGCCGTCATTCTAACTCGTGTGAGATGGTATCTCATTGTGGTTTTGATTTGCATTTCTCTGATGGCCAGTGATGATGAGCATTTTTTCATGTGTCTTTTGGCTGCATAAATGTCTTCTTTTGAGAAGTGTCTGTTCATATCGTTTGCCTACTTTTTGATGGGGTGGTTTGTTTTTTTCTTGTAAATTTGTTTGAGTTCATTGTAGATTCTGGATATTAGCCCTTTGTCAGATGAGTAGGCTGCGAAAATTTTCTCCCATTTTGTAAGTTGCCTGTTCACTCTGATGGTAGTTTCTTTTGCTGTGCAGAAGCTCTTTAGTTTAATTAGATCCCATTTGTCAATTTTGTCTTTTGTTGCCATTGCTTTTGGTGTTTTAGACATGAAGTCCTTGCCCATGCCTATGTCCTGAATGGTAATGCCTAGGTTTTCTTCTAGGGTTTTCATCGTTTTAGGTCTAACGTTTCAGTCTTTAATCCATCTTGAATTAATTTTTGTATAAGGTGTAAGGAAGGGATCCAGTTTCAGCTTTCTACATAAGGCTAGCCAGTTTTCCCAGCACCATTTATTAAATAGGGAATCCTTTCCCCATTGCTTGTTTTTGTCACATGTGTCAAAGATCAGATAGTTGTAGATAAGCAGCGTTATTTCTGAGGGCTCTGTTGTGTTCCATTGATCTATATCTCTATTTTGGTACCAGTACCATGCTGTTTTGGTTACTGTAGGCTTGTATATAGTTTGAAGTCAGGTAGTGTGATGCCTCCAGCTTTGTTCTTTTGGCTTAGGATTGACTTGGCGATGCGGGCTCTTTTTTGGTTCCATATGAACTTTAATGTAGTTTTTTCCAATTTTGTGAAGAAAGTCATTGGTAGCTTGATGGGGATGGCATGGAATCTATAAATTACCTTGGGCAGTGTGGCCATTTTCACAATATTGATTCTTCCTACCCATGAGCATGGAATTTTCTTCCATTTCTTTGTATCCTCTTTTATTTCATTGAGCAGTGGTTTGTAGTTCTCCTTGAAGAGGTCCTTCACGTCCCTTGTAAGTTGGATTCCTAAGTATTTTATTCTCTTTGAAGCAATTGTGAATGGGAGTTCACTCATGATTTGGCTCTCTGTTTGTCTGTTATTGGTGTATAAGAATGCTTGTGATTTTTGTACATTGATTTTGTATCCTGAGACTTTGCTGAAGTTGCTTATCAGCTTAAGGAGATTTTGGGCTGATACAATGTGGTTTTCTAGATATACAATCATGTGGTCTGCAAACAGGGACAATTTGACTTCCTGTTTTCCTAATTGAATACCGTTTATTTCCTTCTCCTGCCTAATTGCCCTGGCCAGAACTTCTAACACTATGTTGAATAGGAGTGGTGAGAGAGGGCATCCCTGTCTTGTGCCAGTTTTCAAAGGGAATGCTTCCAGTTTTTGCCCATTCAGTATGATATTGGCTGTGGGTTTGTCATAGATAGCTCTTATTATTTTGAGATACGTCCCATCAGTACCTAATTTATTGAGAGTTTTTAGCATGAAGGTTGTTGAATTTTGTCAAAGGCCTTTTCTGCATATGTTGAGATAATCATGTGGTTTTTGTCTTTGTTTCTGTTTATATGCTGGATTACATTTATTGATTTGCGTATATTGAACCACCTGGCATCCCAGGGATGAAGCCCATTTGATCATGGTGGATAAGCTTTTTGATGTGCTGCTGCATTCTGTTTGCCAGTATTTTATTGAGGATTTTTGCATCAGTGTTCACCAAGGACATTGGTCTAAAATTCTCTTTTTTGGTTGTGTCTCTGCCCAGCTTTGGTATTAGGATGATGCTGGCCTCATAAAATGAGTTAGGGAGGATTCTCTCTTTTTCTATTGATTGGAATAGTTTCAGAAGGAATGGTACCAGTTCCTCCTTGCACCTCTGGTAGAATTCGGCTGTGAATCCATCTGGTCCTGGACTCCTTTTGGTTGGTAAGCTATTGATTATTGCCACAATTTCAGATCCTGTTATTGGTCTATTGAGAGATTCAACTTCTTCCTGCTTTAGTCTTGGGAGAGTGTATGTGTCGAGGAATTTATCCATTTCTTCTAGATTTTCTAGTTTATTTGCGTAGAGGTGTTTGTAGTATTCTCTGATGGTAGTTTGTATTTCTGTGGGATCGGTGGTGATATCCCCTTTATCATTTTTTATTGCGTCTGTTTGATTCTTCTCTCTTTTTTTCTTTATTAGTCTTGCTAGCAGTCTATCAATTTTGTTAATCCTTTCAAAAAACCAGCTCCTGGATTCATTAATTTTTTGAAGGGTTTTTTGTGTCTCTATTTCCTTGAGTTCTGCTCAGAGTACCTACTTTTCTTGTAGGGTCTTTCCATTAATGCTGGAATGTAGTGTGTGTCTCCAAGGATTTTCTTATGTCCTCATAATAGCATGAAAGGAGAAAGTAGGGAGGAAATTGGTAGAGACTTACGCTACAGTAATTAAGTTCAATTATATGAAATTGCCAATAACTGACTATTTTTTTTAAACTTAAGTTCTGGGATACATGTGCAAACTTGCAGGTTTGTTACATAGGTATACATGTGCCATGGTGGTTTGCTGCACCTATCAACCCGTCATTTAGATTTTAAGTCTCGCATGCATTAGGTATTTGTCCTAATGCTCTCCCTTCCCTTAACCCCCTCAACCCCTGACAGGCCCGGGTGTGTGATGTTCCCCTCCTTGTGTTCCCCTCATTGTTCAACTCTCACTTATGAGTGAGAACATGCAGTATTTGGTTTTCTGTTCCTGAGTTAGTTTGCTGAGAATGATGGCTTCCAGCTTCATCCATGTCCCTGCAAATCACATGAACACGTTCTTTTTTATGACTGCATAGTATTCTGTGGTGTATATGTGCCACATTTTCCTGACCATTTTTGACCTTTATAGTGGCTCCATATAATAAATGGAGTGGCAAATACAGACTAACCTGCTTAATTTTAGGCCGTATGTATGACTAGTTTCTATGCAGTAAGCCCCATGTGGCAGAAAGACCACTATATTCTGTTTATAGGAGAAACATCAGTTTGAGCTCTTGGACGCTTTCTCTAAACCCCTTACAGATTATACTGAGAAACTTGTGTGGGTCTCTCCGGTATGGACTGATAACTGCCCATACTTCTGATTAAAAAGTTAAGGGAGTTAGCATCATAGCTGTAATTCCTCGTTAATCTTTTCTTAACCATGAAAAAGACACCATTTTTAAGTTTTCCAAAACTCGATGACAGATCCAGAATACATGTCATTTATTTTTAACATAACTATTTCTTTCATTGAGCTCTTTTTGATGATAAGTAATCAGTATAGCTGCCTTATATTATTAAGCTTTTCTGCATATATTATCTCCTCAAGCAGTTTTTAAAGTCTACCTGAGAAAAGACTGGGCTGATGTGTCTCTGCAACCCCTAAAGTACCCAGTAGCGTCTATGCACAGAGTAGGATTCAAAAATATTTTTAAATTAATTAGCAATTATCTACTAAGTCCTAATCTTTAATAACCATCTGCATATATCTGGCAATCTCTAAAAGTCAAAGTTTGACCTGAGTCCATGGGTGAGATTAAAAAAAGTCAAAGTTCCTACGGAAAAAGCATAAACAGCTATGAGGACATTTTCTGTTTAATGGAAGATAACTTTTCAGGTGCACTGATTAGAAAATGTGTTGGCAGTAGACTGGTTCATTGTTTGTGTCCTTGCAGGAGTTAGTCAAAACTCAAAAACGTCTTTGTGGTATAATATTTCTGAGGGAAAGGGAAATTTGAAAAATAGCCTTTTGCTTCCAAAATATTGAGGTTACTCATCCTCCAATTCCCTGAGATCATTAAGACCTGTTTGTTTGCCTTTTCCTTGTGCATAAGGAAACCAAACAATGGCTTCTTCTTTCCCAATATGGTAATAACTCTTAACCCTAATTTCTGCCTAGGGAATCTCTCTGGCACAGGGAACAGAAATTTTTCTTTATTTACATATGTATCTAACTTGTTCTCCATATGAACTATGTACCCATGAAAGGGACCCATATGTTTCTATGGTTTTTAATTCAAATGGTCATAGTTACTAATATTCGAGTCTTCTGTGGAGTTGACTTGTACCTATTTCCCATCATGAATAGTAATTCTTTGGTTATCAATTGTATAAGTACAAATAAAACTATGACTGATAAATCTTTTGAGTCAGAGAGCTTAAGAAAAATATTAAACAGACTTTTAAAATGAGTTTGGGATTCAGGATTCCTTAAAATATTATGTTTTGAAGGGTATATATAGCATATATATTTAATGAGGTTTAAACTAATACCTCAAAGTAATCTTTCTGTGTTTTCAAAAGATGAGGTTTAAGACAATACAGTATTACTGTTCTCAGAAGCCCATGGTAGATGAAATGGTGTTTAGTGATAAAATTATATTATTTTCGTATGAGAGAACCAGACCACAAAGTAGTAAAAGTAGTATTTCAACACTAGAAAGGAATTCAGAGATTGCTTTTTTTTTTTCTTACCAATGAGTATGTTGTCTACATAATATAGTAATATTAATAAATGATTGGCTTCCTAGGTTTTGACTGCAGGAGTGGGGAGCTGGAGAGAAGGTTAAAACATATCCTAGAAAACTCTGCACGTTTACTGCATACATTAGGTGACAAATGGGTGTTGTGCCAGTGTAAGTCTCTTTGAATGTTTTAGTTAATCTTGGAGCAAATTTGTCACTTCTTTCATTAGTTCTGGTTAAAGGGAGGGTGCTGGGGTTTATTTTCTTTTATTTTTTCTTTCTATATCGAGCAACTATTAGATCAATAATATAGTATACACAAGAGATAAATAAATCCTCTCTTAAGGAGTTGATACTACATCTGGTGGATCAACATGCAAACAACCAGCTAAAAAAAAAAAGGAATGCGTCCAGTGTTTGAGCAAAGTGCTATTAAAGCAAACAAAACAAAAAGATTCTGATTGGGTGATATGGCCCAGGGTCAGCTTCATAGAGAAGACAATTACATTGAGCCTTGAATTTGAGTAAAATGGAAGGAAGGAAGCCATGGAAGCGCATGGTGTGATGGGAAATCACAGGGCATAGACATATTAACAAAATAGGTGTAGAATTCTGAAGGAGTTGGGGGGTGATGTAAGACTCTAGCTCTAGCTCAGTTCTTATTGCAAAGCACAGTGAAAGGCACAACTAAACACAAAAGAGTCGCTGAATTGAATTGATTTTTGCAGGTTTGCCTTGTCTACCAAGTTTGGCATGCATGTCTTTCTATTTTTCTCTTCACTCACCATTTGTCTTTTCCAGGTCTTCATTATTATATTTTTAGAAGGAAATAAATGCATTTTTGTAAAATTATATTGAAAGTGGAAAAATAAAATGAACATTTTCTGCTCTTCCTGTGATCCCTACTACCTCACAGGGCCATCTTTGCAGGAGACATGTACTGGCATAGTATCGCCCTTATTTGTTTCAAGGTGAACCTAAATTTGCCATTTAAGTGATTTGGAGAAGTAGACTTGTTTTATAAGCTGATGGGGAGGGATCTTTGCTAGGATGGTATAGTTTCATCTCTCTGTTATTTGTGGATAATCCTTGATTCTTAGTATTGAAGAAAGAATGAATTATAATACTAATTATAATTATAAGAAGTATTAGTATCTTCAGTACTAAGGAGTATTAATACTATGATTAATTGCTAGGCATTTCCTAAACATTCTGTGACCATTTAAACAGAAATCGGATTTCTGCTCTGATGTGTGCCATTGCTGAATTTGATAAAATTCTTATTTACATTTTATTCAACCACAGATGTTTACTGATGACTAAAAGGGCAAATACATGAGAAAGTATAGATCTTTTAACAGATCCTGTCACCATTAGTAATAAAATAATTCAAAATCCGTGTTCTTCTCTTTAAAACAATTTAAAGAAAAGGCTGAATATTTTTATTCTAAACGTCCTTGTGGACTGAAAGCTCTGATCCATTACAGACTCAGAAGGCCCATCCGAGGGGAAAATAAGAATTATGATCTCATTATTTTTAAGATTCTGTTATTTGCTCAGCAAAACGTAATCCAAATGTGCATTTTACTACAGCTATAAAAATAGAAAGTAAATTAAACAATCCTAAGAAATGTCTTTATTCTATTTAATGGAATTTTAAGGGGGTGTTTCCTTATGCTATTGAAAACAAAAACACAGCAACAGTGTTCTGGCAGACTGTCCTCACAAACTTTGGAAATTAAAGCAAAACAAAATAACTCATTGTCCTACCTGGAAAAAATAGAAATAATGATAAAAATAAAAATCAAGGCCGGGTTCGGTGGCTCACCCCTATAATCCCAGCACTTTGGGAGGCCAATCACCTGAAGTCAGGAGTTCAAGGTCAGCCTGGCCAACATGGTGAAACCCCATCTCTCCTAAAAATACAAAAATTAGCCAGGTATGGTGGTGCACACCTGTAATCCCAGGTACTCTGGAGGCTGAGACAGGAGAATTCCTTGAACCCTGGAGGCAGAGGTTGCAGTGAGCAGAGATCACGCCACTTCACTCCAGCCTGGGCGACAGAGAGAGACTCTGTCTCAAAAAATAATAATAACAATAAAATAAAAGTCAGATCTCCAGTATTTGCCTTAAGATCTTCCTTGTGCTGTTGGTCCAAAATTTGTAATTTTTTTTTCTTTCTGAGATGGAGTCTGGCTCTGTCGTCCAGGCTGGAGTGCAGTGCTGCGATCTTGGCTCACTGCAAGCTTCACCTCCCGGGTTCATGCCACTCTCCTGCCTTAGCCCCCTGAGTAGCTTGGACTACAGGCACCCACCACCTCGCTTGGCTAATTTTTTTGTATTGTTAGTAGAGACGGGGTTTCACCATGTTAGCCAGGATGGTCTTGGTCTCCTGACCTCGAGATCTGCCTGCCTCGGCCTCCCAAAGTGCTGGGATTACAGGCATGACAAAATTAGTAATTTAATAAAATGAAGCTACTTTGAGTATTTATCGCAATCTCTGTGCTTAGTACATAATGTACCAATGCATATGGAATATAAATGGCTATAAATATGATCATATGCATTTATTGCTAAATATTGACAGGAAGTAAGTGCTGAGAATTCTATGACTTTTTTTTCACATGCCATGTGTCCAGGAATATTGTTTTGAAACCCTGCTAAGTATTTAGGATATGCTTCTCTTTCCAAGTTCCTAGAACACAATGTGCAGTAAAAAAAAAAAAGGGTCATTATCTCTCAGGGAAATATGCAAGCTCCATAGATGCACGAGTCAAGCGGCTGTTTCCCACAAACTCTTCGGCTCCTCTTGAGCACAGGATGGGAAGAAAAATCCTCTAGAAAATTAACCACATGTTAGTGTTGAAACGTTGCCAGGAACACAGACAGCCCTGGAGGGTTAGTTGCATATCAATATTGATGGAGCCATGTGGCAGGGCAAGAAAATGGCACATCTTGCTCTCAGAGTTCACAGGACTGAGTATTTTTATTTAGATGAAAAGGAAAACTTGGAAAACAAACAGCAGTGGGAATGATGCTGCTAACACTCACTGTCTGACATCTTCAAGACTAATATATGGTGATAGAATGGTTCGCTTTCTCTATCAGTCTCATTTAAAGAAATCCCTGGGAGGCAGAGAGACTGTATTTGGCAGAAGGGGAGAGGGATGTTATAAAGCCTACCTGATAAGTGAGACTGTTGCATTTTATGGACATTTTTGAAGTATTGAGTCAATATCATTATTATACTGTGTCATAGCAAAAAAAAAATCACATTATCATGGTCAAACTGATTGTAGTTTAATGTATATAAAGCAAAACCAACTTCCTCCTCCCCACTAAAAACTATTTTTCTGTTTTTAAAATGTAAAATTTTTATTTTTGGGGTGATAGGGTCTCACTGTTGCCTGGGCTGTAGTGCAGTGGCACAATCATAGCTCACTGTAGCCTTGACCTCCTGGGCTCAGGCTCAAGTGATTGTCCTCTATTTAGAACAAGTTAAAGAAAGGTCTGAAGGCCTCAGCCTCCTGAGTAGGTGGTACCACAGGCATGCACCACCACATCTGGCTAGTCTTTTTATTTTTTGTAGGGACAGGGTCTGGGTATGTTGCCCAGGCTGCTCTCGAACTCCTAGGTTCAGGCAATCCTCCTGCCTTGCCCTCTCAAAGTGCTGGAATTACAGGTGTGAGCCACCCTGTATGGCAATTATTATTATTATTATTATTTTGGCAAGGAAGAATCTGATTGGATACAAATTGAAAAGATGTCCATGCTTAATATTCCAAATATTGTCTCTTAAATGACAGTTTTCTTTTGATATAGGGAAATTATAGTCATTATGAATATAAACACCTGACATCAAAGTTGGCAAGTGGTAGATACTCCACAAATACTTTTCTTCTCCTTTATTTTCTAAGCCTTAATAGTATTCTCTAAATCACACACTTGTGCTACATAGATGCACATGTTTTTATTACTAGTAGCAGCTACCATTGTACTAGTAATTGAATACCAACATCTTTTAGTTATCTGAATAGTTACCTCTGTATTTTAATAAATACCTTCTTTTTATCTCAGATAAAACCCTTGACACTCTAAATTCAAATGAACCTCAGTTTTAGTCTGTTTGCCTCCTTTCTCACCCTGTGCCATCTTTTCTCAGAAGGTCCCAGAATTTAAAGCTCAAGTGAGAATTGACACCATCAAAAGTGTCCTCGTCTTTAAGCAAATATGACAATTGAGACTTAGTAGGGGCAACATAGATTTAGAAATCAGTCCTTCTTCCTCGCAGATCTGTGTTCTTTCCATTTTTCTATGTTCTTCATATTTCCTCAGGGTTCCTGTGTTTATAGTCCCATTGCCTCGTTCTTATATATATATTTTTCCTTCTCTTCTTTAAAATTGCCTACATTTGTCTCTCATCCTAGGAGATCCTCCAGTTTTTGCTGCAATCATTAGAGCTTACCTCAAGATTGCTTTCAATGATGCTCTACTGGAAAAATTTGTCATATCACGAGTTTTTGTTAATGTTGTCAAGTTTAAGCCTATAACTTGCCGTGCTTAAGTATGAATCCCCCTGGCTTTTGTCTGATGCAGGTGTGGCCCATTTTTCAACCTGTACTTTGGGAGTTCCTGCTGTTTGCTGATTCCACACTCCTTGCCTTGTTTTGTTTTGTCATTTTAGAAATGTGTCTTTTACACATTTGTCTTCATACAAATGTATGTGGGGCTCTTGGCTCTCTCCCTGCCTACTCAATTCCATGCCCCACTGTACGGTTAATGCCCCAGCTTTGCAGTTGTTTTCCCAAACTGTCATTGACTATCAATGCATTGCCCCATGCCTCCAAGATTTTCCCACAGTTCTCTGTCCAACTCGGCTCATGGGGCTCTGTCCCGACACTGGCTCATTCTGTTCTGTCCTCCTGGATGTCTCCAGGACAGCAGCTCCAGTCCTGAGGCTCCCCCTAGTCTCCACCCATTTCTCCTTTCCTTGACCCTGCATCATCATTCTAGTGAGAGCCATATAATTTCACACCAATTCTTTCCCATTGTACAGAATTACATTTTCTTAACATAGATGAAGATTTAAAAGCATCCCTGGATCTGTTTCTGTCTCTGTTAGCTTCAACTCTATGCTGCTTTTCAGCTCAGCAGTCACCTCTTCCTCCTCTACCTCGAAATATTTGATTCATTCTCCATGGGATAATTGGTCCCCCTCTCTCTGTGACTTCTTTCTCAATCCCACTTCCCGTGGAATTACTCAGTCTTTTGTACTGTACCTTGGGCCCCTTGTTCTCATGGCAATTATAGTCATATATGTCTATCTTCACCCCAAAATGTGAGGTCCTTGAGATTAAAAAATGAATCTTAAACCTTTACATTGCATGCTTTTATTCTGAGCCTTCTACAATTTCTGCCTCATTTCTTTATTAGACTGAAGCTCTGGGATGCAGGAATGATGTCTTCTTCTGACTTTGTACCTCTCACAGAACCAAATAAAATGTTAGGCATATAGTGGTCATTCCACACTCTGACTGCTTGACCATCTGGCCAGAAATCCAGTTACGGTGTTCCAGTTTGCTTGCAGAGAGACAACATCCTCTGTGCAGGTGGCTTCGGGGAGCAGGGGAAGGGCTATGATGAAAGTTGAGGGCTTGGGAATGAAAGGCATTTTGTTTTGCTTGGGAGTCTTAATCTCAGTCTTTCCAGGCTTTTGTATGGGCGTGTGTTGTACTAGTGTAAAAAGATAAGGTGGCAAAAGAGAACAGAGGAATGGGAGGTGCAGGTACCTTCACTGGGTCCACAGACATCATGGCATGGCAAGAGACGCTGTGTGCCCTGATACAATCATAAATTCATTTCAAGCATACATGTGGGTTTATATTAATATTTCAAAAATGTTATTGTGAGGATGTTAGTAGAGGATTTTCACTTTAATTTTAATAGGCATGGCTTGAGAGGAATGTTTGAATAATCAAATCAATTTTCAAAAATTCTGTTTTCTACGATTTTTAACTTTTATAAGTTTTTACTGAATCATTATGATATCTGTTAGCAAACTGAAAGCTTTGAGAGCTCCTAAAGAAGAATATTTAGTTTGATTTAACCAATCATTTCTCGAACATATCTGAGCATAAGATCCTTTTATCTATTGTTTTGTTTTTATCTCACAGAACACTAGTTCGGGAAATGGTGACCCAGCTGCTCCAGGGTGACTTGAGTTCAGAAGAAAAGATATGCCTCGGGAGATTGTAGGGTACACTCTTTCCATCTGTTGAGTCTCTGAGAGTTAAAAACCTATGCAAGATGGATTTTTTTTTGCCATTTAACGTGATGGGATATGGTGGAACTACATGCTTGCTGTGACTCCTTTGTGTTTTTCTCAATGTATACCATTTTAGGTGGCCCGAGGGTGTTCTTGAAAACGTAGAACTAATTCTTCAAAGAGTATTTATACAGTAACCCAATTATAGAAGAGACCTAAGTAGACTCTGATCAGGCTACAGGGCAACCTGGTGGGGTGAGAGAAGGCATAATCTCTGCCTAAATAAGTTCCGTAGAATCATTAGAAAACCACTGGATTCAGTGATCTCTAAGGTATTTTATGACTCTAGAGACATTGACCTTAGTTATTAGATAAACTCTGATGGTTTACGATTAAAGGGATGAACAAAACATGACCTAGAAATACAATTATAAGATAAAATCTACATTCCTCAATGGCGTTTAAGGTGTGGTTTATCAAACACCTGTATCAGAAACACTGTGGTTCTTTTTAGCAATACAGATCATAGGTCTTCTCCAAGGCCTACCAAATCATAGTGGAAGAGACCTGGCCATTTGCAGTTTATCAAATCCCTTAGATGATTCTTAAACATATTAAAGTTTGAAAACCAGTGATGTAGAGCAGTGATTTAAAATAGAAGTGCATAGAAGGATAAACTGTTGAGTTTTATGCAATGTAAGTATCTGGCCACTATCCCCATACGGTCTGATTTAATAAATTTGGGATAAAGTCTAGGCATCCATATTAAAAACAAACAAAAAACTTTTTGTAGTGATTTGTAGTCGTTGAAAACCACGGATATAGTGTAGGGAGAAGTAAAATACAAAAAGCTTAGATGTACAGCTACTGTCATCATGCAGCAGCAAGTTTGGCATTGAGCTTCCTAGCAGTGAAAGCAAAAAAGGGAAAGTTTTATCCTATGTATCTTTTGCCATGCCCATGTCAGTGCAGGGAACATAGTGATACTCAGTAAGTATATTTTTATTTATTGGCAGCAACCTTGCATTTCTTGTTAGTATCTATTTGGATAGAATCTCTAGATTTTAAATAATTCTTCTTGCTCAGAAAGACACACAAACAAATTTTCAGCTACGTATAACTTAAAGAATGCCAAAATATTTGTTTGGAAAACATGCTGATATTTAATAATGCATACTTTAATGTAGTTACTGAGTAACAGAAAATTCAAAGGTTAAATCCACATTTGTTTTTGATATCTTTAAGTTATTCATATCATATTTAAATGCTATCTGATATTTGCGTGTGCATATAGGTGGTTCTTAACCATGACTAAACATTAGATTCACCTCGAATCACCTTAAGAAATCCTTTTAAAAAATTATGGTACCTAGGCCACACCCTGGAACAATTATAGTATTCAGAATCTGTGGGAATGGTATATAGGCATCAGTATTTTATAAAATTCTCTAAGTTAGTCCAAAGGAAAGCCAAGGTTCCTGCTTAGATCAATAGTTCTCAAATTGGAGAGCGCATGAGTCTTCTGGGAGTTTGTTGAAAGGCAAATTCCCTTCCTCCCTGCAACTGAGATTCTGATCCAATAGGTTTATCTGAATTTCACATGTGATTGTGCCATTAGTGGCCTTTGAGAAACAAAGGCCTTTGAAAAAAATCAAATAGATCCTAAAAAGAAATCCAAAAGTAAATGGTACGAGAAGTAAATATGTGATCATTATTTCCAATGCTGCTTAATTACCATTTACTAGTAAACATGGTTATTGGAGACCTTTCATCTGTGATGGTTGTCAGGTGATGATTACATATTAGAGTCCAAGAAGCTATTGCCCTCATTTTCATTCTTTTGAAAAAAATGATTTTTAGGTTATATTTTGTGGTGGTGCTCACTGTCTTCCTTTTTTCTGCAGTACTTTTGAAGGTGAAAAGGGAACACACTTTCAACTTGAAAACATAGTTTCTCCATTGAACAAAAAGATTGGAACATTTACCTGAAAAGTGTTGCTTTAGGAAATTTGGTAATTAATTTAAAAATCTAGACAATGGGAAGGCTGAAAAGAATCAACATTTATTTCTTGGTTAAAATTCTAAATCTAAAAGCAAAATGTTTATAAATCACAGAATTTTACAAACTACTAGATTTGTAAATTGCATTTTATTGCTGCTAAATTTCCAATAATAGATTATATTATGCTTGAATAATTACTGAGGCAGAAATATATTCACAATACATTTTGAAGTTTAAAAGAGTTATAACATGGCATGTATGGCTAATTGCTATCCTATGAAGTCGCATGAAACATATTGAAAAATTGAAAACAACAAATGAGAATAATCTATAAAATGCATAAGTGCTTCTTCCATGTCAGTCAACTGAGGGTTTATTAAGCTATGGCATGAGTTTGAGCTCTTTAGGTTGTCCTTCTCAGAAACACTATTCAAAGTAGCTTAAGCAAAAAAGAAAATGTATTGGTGACATAACTGAGAAGTCCAAGAGGATGACTGAGGCACAGATGTGTTCAAGAATCAAGCATTGGCCAGGCACAGTGGCTCACGCCTGTAATCCCAGCACTTTGAGGGCTGAGGCGGGCGGATCACGAGGTCAGGAGATCGAGACCATCTTGGCTAACACGGTGAAACCCCATCTCTACTCAAAATAGAAAAAATTAGCCGGGCGAGGTGACGGGTGCCTGTAGTCCCAGCTACTCGGGAGGCTGAGGCAGGAGAATGGTGTGAACCCGGGAGGCGGAGCTTGCAGTGAGCCAAGATCACGCCACTGCACTCCAGCCTGGGCCACAGAGCGAGACTCCGTCTCAAAAAAAAAAAAAAAAAAAAAAAAAAAAAAAAAGAAAAGAATCAAGCATTGATGTCACAACTCTGTCTCTCTTGTCTCTACCTGTCTTTGTGATGACTTTGTTTCCAGGTAAGATTTCTCAATGCCATGGCAAATATGGCTACCTGAAATTCAAGACATACATCTGCTTTAGAAAGAATGTTCTGAGAAAAAAGAAAAAAAAATCATGTGTAATTGTGGTCAGGGGGATACGGACTGATGGGTTAGAACGGGTGATATGCTTACCTATCTGTAGGGCTTGGGAAAGGGAACGTGGGTGGGGAAGTGGGGTGGCAAGTGGAGGATAGGGGCCATGAAAGTGACAGCCTCCTAAAGCTGAGTAGAGCAGATGGAGACATAAAAAGATTCAGGACAGATAAAAGGTAATAGTTTTCTTGCAGTAATTTATATAGAAAATAAGTCCAAAGAAAGAAATATTTTTCTACCAGATCTTAGAAATTCATATGTGACATTTTATCACAACTCTTGTATTTGTTTATATTCATGCCAGTGGTTTTCTGCTTCTCTATCAAATCTCCTGTTGAAAAGAAGAAAATATCTATTTATTGGAAAGTATTCTTTGGTTGATATTTGAAAATGATGGAGCAAATCAAACAAAATCTAAAATCACACAATTTCAACATCCTCACCAAAATATATCTATTTTCACACAAAGTATCATCATGAACTCAATAATGTATTATATTGAAAATGAGACCTAACTATAGGCAACTTCAGAACAGATATTTATTGCATGTCCTTGACTATGGAAAATACTAATGAAAGATATCCTAAATAAATGGTAGACATGGGAATGGTGATCTAATTTGAGAGCAAAACATGCACCTAAGAAAAATTAAAATGTGAACAGTGATAAAACAATATATCATTAAGCGCTAAATGATACAATACATCTTATATGCACTCATGCTAATGGAGACATTCGAATTCTTATTTTAATCGTACAATATTATAACTCATATACACATAACAGGTTTATTTTCATTTTATCGAACATCATTGGAGAAATATTAAATTCTTTGCACTAAGAAAGGCAATACTCTAAATCAATTTTAAGGTTGATTTTTGCTTTACACCCATGGAGGCTGGAAAATCTCTTCTGCCCATAGGAAGAGGAGTAGGGAACGTGTAAAGTGCCTCAGTGAAAAAGCAGGTGAGAAAAAGACTCAAATGTTATTCAGTTTTGGCAACTAGGAGATGACTAGTGACATTTTTAAGTGTAGTTCCAGTAGAGTGGTGAAGATATAAGACAGAGTCACATGAAGTCTACTCAGGAGGTGAGAAAATGAAGACAGTGACATTAGACTGCGCTGACAAGGAGCTGGCCTGAGAAGGGAAACACTTTCAAGAGTAGCTGCTGTGTGGTGCTCTACTGCTGGGGAATTGTGCTGCTGTCCTGCTGGAGGAGGTTCCTCTCTTCCTTTTTTTTTTTTTTTTTTTTTTTCCTTTTTCAAACATAGGGGAGAGAGAATCTAACTTGTAAGTTGAAGAAAAGAGTCAGTTTGGAAGGAACAGTTATTGATAGCACAGACATTTGGAAAGAACGATGGAGTAAAGCCACTGAAAACTGTAGGATGAGATGAGATGCAAAGTACAGGATGTGTTAGCTATTGAAGAGAACAGGCATTCCTATTCCATGAAGCCTAAGAAGAATTTATGAAAAAATGTGCACATTTGTGAGGAGAGGACAGGGACTTGAAGGAGTTTTTTGACCCATGACTCTAGTTTCTCTTTGATAAAAATGGCGAGGCTCTTACTGAAAATGTGTAAGGGTGTTCTGGGGCTCAGTAAGGCTTAATGGGCAGGATGAAAGAAATCTTTGGAATAGGGTTTGGGGACTGTCACATTTCCACAGTGGAAACTTCTATTAAGGTAGTTACAGATCAAGAAAAAGCATGGATTAACAGCTAAACTTACCTAAACCAATCACAAATGCCTGTCTCATATGTAAAAAGTTAACAACCAAGTTGGCTTTTCCAATTAATGGTCAGTCAAATGTTTAAAAAGTGATAAATCCAACTATAAGTTCCACAAGTCTCTAACTTTCTTCCTCAAAGTGGCAAGAAACTGATTTTTAAAAGAAATTTCTGAAACTCACAGACTGAAATGAGATTATGCAATTATAGGTAGGCTGATATCTTTAATTATGTACAATGTCAGGTGTTTTTGTCCTATAAATTTTGACATGCTCTGTTGACTCAATTATATCTCTCTTTTGGGAACACATACTGAAAAAAATGGCAACAATTTTTTCCAAATACACTGTGTTCATTCCAGAGGAAAAGAAAAAGTGGATGTTCCTAAGGAATCATATTTTTGTTTGTTTGTTTTGGTTTGGTTTTGTTTTTCTTGAGATGGAGTTTCACTCTTGTTGCCCAGGCTGGAGTGCAATGGCACGATCTCGGCTCACTGCAATCTCCGCCTCCTGGGTTCAAGCAATTCTTCTGCCTCAGCCTCCCGAGCAGCTGCGATTACAGGCCTGTGCCACCATGCCCGGCTAATTTTGTTTTGTTTTGTTTTGTTTTTGGTCTTTTTAATTGAGATGGAGTTTCACCATGTTGGACAGGCTTGTCGCGAACTTCTGACCTCAGGTGATCCACCTGCCTCGGCCTCCCAAAGTACTGGGATTACAGGCGTGAGCCACTGCGCCCAGCCACAATCATGGTTTGTTGGCAATAGAACAAACTCCTATTTAATGCCATACTTTTACAAATGAGGATGATGTCATAACTAGCTAACAATAGAGGTGAGATGGAACAGTGAGTTCTAAACCACTGCTCTTTTTATCAGATAACTCTCTATAACCCAAGATGTCACTGCTCTAGATTTTAAACATATGCAGTATGAAGAAAACCAGTAATTTGAGTTTCTCCATTTCAATTCACAAAGTTTATTAGTGTTTTCTTTGGAGCTGTAAAAACGTGCAGGCATGACAGTTAGTATTGAGAATGTGTGTGTGTGTGTGTGTTCATGCACATGTGTGTATGTATATGTTTAAGAGAGAAAGCAAGAGGCACAAAGAAGGATTTGGCTGGGGACCTAGGTTAAGTGTTGGCAAGGTGACTTACAAGGAAATTCACATTGTTTTCATGCCTGCTAACACCACATCCACTGTGCAGCTGATGGTTCAAGAAGTAATTTCCACTTTCAAGTTTTATTATTAGTAGTATTTTTCGAGACAGGGTCTCACTCTGCTGCCCAGGCTGGAGTGCACTTGCAGTCTCGTGGCTTACTGCAGCCTCAAACTCCCAGGCTCAGGCAATCTTCTCACCTCAGCCTCCTGAGTAGCTGGGACTACAGGCCCTGCTCCAACACACCTGGCGAATTTTTGTATTTTCTGTAGAGATGGTGTTTCGTCGTGTTGCTTAGGTTGGTCTTGAACTCCTGAGCTCAAGCGATCCACCCGCCTTGGCCTCCCAAAATGCTGGGATTACAGGCGTGACCCCCCCCGGCTCACCCTCAAGCCTTATTATTTAAGAAATACATTTTGTAAGGCTATAGCTGCCATGGATAGAATTTCTTTGATAGATCTAGGTAAAGTACATTAAGAGCCTTCTGGAAAGAATTCACTATTCTAGATACCACTAAGAGAATTCATGACTCATGGAAGGAGGTAAAAATATCAACATGAACAGGCATTTGGGAGAATTTGATTCCAATCCTCATGGATGACTTTGAGGGGTCCAAGACTTCAGTGGAAAATATCCCCACAACTAGAATTAGAAGTGGGGCTTAAAGATGTGGCTGAATGGCTGCAATCTCATGATAAAACCTGAATGGATGAGGAGTTGTTTTTTCTTTTCTTTTTTGAGACAGAGTTTCACTCTTGTTGCCCAGGCTGGAGTGCAATGGCTCGATCTCGGCTCACTGCAAACTCCACCTCCCGGGTTCAAGCAATTCTCCTGCCTCAGCCTCCCGAGTAGCTGGGATTACAGGCATGCGCCTCCACACCTGACTAATTTTTGTATTTTTAGTAGAGATGGGGTTTCTCCATGTTGGTCAGGCTGGTCTTGAACTCCTGACCTCAGGTGATCCGCCCGCCTCGGCCTCCCAAAGTGCTGGGATTACAAGAGTGAGCCACTGTGCCCAGCGAGGAGTTGTTTCTTGTGGATAAACAAATAAAATGGTTCTTTCAGATGGCATCTACTCCTGATGAAGATACTGTGCACATTGTTAAAATGACAACAAAGAACTTTGAATATTACAAAAATTTAGTTGACAAAGGAGTGGGAGAATTGACTGTAATTCTGAAAGATATGCTACTCTGGGGAAAATGCTGTCAAACAGCACTGCAAGCTACAGAGAAGCGTTTTGTGAAAGGAAGAGTCTATCAATGCAGCAAACTTTATTGTTGACTTATTTTAAGAAATTGCCATGGCCATTCCAACTATTACTCCCATCAGTCAGCTGCATCAATATCAAGGCAAGACCCTCCACCAGCAAAAAGATTGAGCTGCTGAAAGTTCAGATGATTGTTAACATTTTTTAGGAATAAAGTATTTTTAAATTAAGATATGCACTTTTTAAAAGACAGAATGCTGTTGCATACTTGACTACAGTATAGTGTAAACATAACTTTTATATGCACTGGGAAACCAAAATACTTGTGTGAGTCCCTTACTGGGACATTTGCTTTATTGCAGTGGTCTGGAATGGAACCTATAATATCTGCAAAACATGCCTGCATCTTGCTTCACATTCTATCATTATTTTCCTACTGTATGAATGTGCGTAGGAAACACGTTTTGCTGTGTAGAGATAAATTGGTAAAAGAGACTAATTCTACACCTTGGTTTTCCTTTATTATTAGTCCAGCAGGTTTTACACTTTTCTCGAAAATGACATCATATCAAATTTTACTGTCCAGTATTCAATTACCTATCAAGAGTTAATCTCTGAAATGAGAAACCTTGTTAGTGGACCAAAAGGACTGACCCGTTTTCAATCTTCATTATTTTCACTTTTCCAGACTTGTCTATAAAACAGGTTCTTAGATTTTTTTTTAAAATGTCATTGTCCGGACAATTGGGCTTTACCAATTTAAAAGTTCCTGTAGGAGTAACTAAAACAGTTTTTTATTTTTTTAAGCAGCATTTTAACACACAGCAACTGGACAATGCAGAAAACAGACGAACGGAGGAGGAAATTGTATTTTCCCAGAGCTCTGCTCTACTGCCTTGTGTTTTAAGATCTGGTGCCATATAAAAGATACTTGATGCTGTAATGATTCATTTATTTGGCATATTTCCAAAATGCATAGAATTTATTTATTTTTTTTAATCACATAAAGTTAAAATGCAAATATTTGACTACTGGGTGCTCACACATTTCAGGTCTTAAATATGATGCCCTGTCTAATTTGTAGCAATGGAATTTTTCTTCTCTCTGGGACTCCATCAATCTTATTTTTCGTTTCTAAGAGGAATGGGAAAAAATGAATCTATAAATATCTATGCTTATTTAACACCTTTGGTTTTGATATTGTCATGTACCCTAAAACATTAAAATAGTTCTCAGTCATCTCTCAAATAGTTTCTAAAATCTGATGGCCCAATGAACTTCTACTTTCTCCTCAATATTTACGTAGTTCCTACCTCTTTTTGCTGTCTTCCTCTGTCTACGCCATTCCTACTGTTTCTCAAGTTGACAAGTTGAGAAGTGAAGGCTCTAGAAAACAGGCTCAGTTTCCTCTTGAATGAAAACATAAATCAAAGTAAAGTGCAAATAGGGGAAGGAGATGATGGGACAGTGTATTTAAGGCCTGCTGCCTGATTTTCACTAGACATGCTGCTAGCCTTCTTTTAGCCTTCTTTTAGATGTATGTTGATTTCTTCTATTCCTAAGACATGCTGGTGAACACTGTAGTCAATTGAGCATCTTTCGAAAGTCAAAATATGTCTTTTATTTTCCTACAGTCAAAACATAGAGTTCGATCGTATGCATGATGTAAGCCAAGTAAATCATGTTCACATTAAGTAATAAGGTCTCCTTTCTCCTGATTAATTCTATGTTTATGTCTTTCAACATATCACGTCAGCACACATGACCTCATTTAATGGCTATGCCTGAGGCTATGAAGGTCGGTCCACATGCTTACATATGGAGAATAATATTGTTGCATTTCTGTGGAAACTGGCTCCCAGGGACAACTGTGTAGGCAGAGCTGCAGGGGCCTCTGAGCCTATCTTTCAGTCCATGACCTGGCTGCAGATGATGTGTTTAAAACTCCCAACCTATGAAATTCCCTGCCAGCAAACACCATCAGGTCATAAATGGAGTACAAATTGATTCAAATAACAGAATCAAGAGGCTGCTTGAGATCTCTAAAGGCCATTTGATGCTGACACAGCTTCTAAGCAGAGTTGTGGCTGCTTCAGACTAATGGGTCCCTGATTTGATTTTAAAACTGTCCAGGAAACTAAAAAAAAAAATTGAGAAGGTTATAAGGGTCCCCAGGAAGAATGAAATCTTATATAATTCATGTTGTTTATGATCTACCTCTTTTTTTTTTTTTTACAGTACCATACTATCAGTTATATAAAATTAACATGTTTTTCTCTTTCAATACTTTTCTCTAAAGCAATGGTTCTCAATTCCAGTTGCCCATTAGAGAGATTTGGAGAGCTTTTAAACAAACAATCCATCAACCGATGCTCAAGCCTCATCTCAATTAAATTAAATCAGAATCTCTTTGTGGACTCTAGCACGGGTATATTTAAAAATGTGTCCAGGAGATTTTTAATGAGCAGTCAGAGTTGAAATGATTGCTTTGTCTTATGGCCCTTGCTGATGGACAGGTGCTTAATCAATAGTATTTTTGTAAGCTAATGATAGGATAAATATCGTGTTTCTTTTTAAATTTGGAATTGTCGCTTGCATTCTTTTTTGTTTCTCTGCAATCAGTTTTGAAAAAAATAGCCAGAATGATCGCTATAAAACCAGTCAGTTCACGTTACTTCTCTCACTCAGAATAATTCAACGCCTTCCTATCACCCCAAATCCTGATTTACTGTAGCTGAGAAGTTGTTGCGATCTGGCCGTGTCCCTAAGACCTCATCTCCTACCACCCACGCAACACTCACGTCACTTTCCTTACCCTGGATTCACAGCTGTTTTCCAAACTTCCCACATTGAGTCCTTCTGCCGAGGAAACGCCTCCCCTAATCTTCTGATTTTCACAGGCTCACTTCCCCAATTTTTTGAGTTGTCTCTCTTTGCTCAAATGTCATCTCTGTGCAGGAAACTTCGCTGTCCAAAACAGCCGCCTCCTTTCCATGATTACTCTCCATCCACTCTGATTCACTGCACTTATCAAGAGAAACGCAATATCCTTTGCAAACCAGGGGTCGGCAAACTTTTTCCATAAAGGACTGAAGTGTACGTATTTTAGCCTTCGTGTGCCATATGATCTCTGTTGTGACTAGTTAGCTCTGCTGTTACGGTGCAAAAACAGCCATAGACACTATGTATACAAATAATTGTGCCTGTATTCCAATAAATCTTTATTCATAAAAACAGGCAGAGGCCGAGCACAGTGGCTCATGCCTGTAATCCCAACACTTTGGGAGGCCAAGGTGGGTAGATTACAAGGTCAAGAGTTCGAGACCATCCTGGCAAACATGGTGAATTCCGTCTCTACTAAAAATACAAAAATTAGTTGGGCGTGGTGGTGTGCACCTGTGGTCCTAGGTACTTGGTAGGCTGAAGCAGGAGAATCGCTTGAACCCGGGAGGCAGAGGTTGCAGTGAGCAGAGATTGTGCCACTGCACTCCAGTCTGGGCGACAGAGTGAGAGTCCATGTCAAAAAAACAAAAAGAAAAACAAAAACAGGCAGAGGGTCGATTTGGCCCACAGGCAGTAGTTTACTGACCTCTGCCATGTAAGTGAGGTTCTTCCACATATTTAAGTTTGAGCACTCCATTTTCTTTTATTCATACAACTTTCTCTGTTTTTCTTTTCTTTTTTTTTTTAAATCCCTAATGAATAAGGTACCAAGTATAAATTAGCCAATTTCAAATGCAATTAGTATTTGGACCAATCCTTGTATTTTTCCAATCCTAATGGAAACATACACCTGTATTTTCTTTGGTAGTCAACAATCCTTTCATCGATAAAATCTAGACCAGTTATTATTCTCTATTACTTTGGAGATTTAGAGCAAATCTGACATCAAAGGACCACAACTAGTTGGTCGAGACTTCCACAGAGAAGCATTATGTCTCCTTCTGAGCCCTGTGAACTACCAGCTTCCAGAAAACCCTCGCTGCCTATATTTCCTAAACCTGCTCACCATAGGAAAGAATGGCTTCCTTCACTACTCATCTGTGATGAGAAACCTTTTGATAGTTTTAAACACAATCGCCTCACAGAAGTGAAATTTTTTTTTCTGATCGTCATCAGTTTTTTCAGCTTATCCTTAGAGCATCTTCCCAGCAGAAGAATGAAATGACCATAAAAATAGTTAAGTGTTCCTCAAAGCCTATTCACTGAACATTCAATCTGTGAGACGGTAATAGGTATTAGGAGGGGAAAAAGTCTTCTGGTCAAATACATTTGGGAAATACTAGTTTCTTTACTGCAGGATTTTCAGGACATTCATACTTTCTTTATTACGAATTTTCGATAAGGAGATAGAGTACGCATAGGTTTCTCATTTCGATCATAGAAGCCTGTTTTATTTGCGGTGTATCTTGTAGAAATAGGGTTCTATGAAATCCATGTTGAGAGAAACAATGAAATCCTATGCCCTCTAAAAGTGATTTAATGGTCTCTGGAGACTTCATTGGTATTGTATTACCAAGTTTCACAAATGCTACTAATACAAGCTGCTTTTATTATTATTATTTGAAAACATGTTAACAAACATAAATAGACATAGAGTTTGCGTATAAAAATCTCAAATTTCCTGTCCCAGCTCTCCTTTATTAGCTACATGTGTCAATGAAATGTCTAGAAAGAGTGACATTGCTTTTATGTATTTAAAATTTTGGTAAAGATATGAAGATATTTTGCTCTTTTTTTTTTTCTGAGATGAAACATCCAATTCTCTTTCTATGTAACATAGGAATATTTCAGAGTAGGCCATGGTAGTTGATATGGTTTGGCTGTGTCACCACCCAAATCTCAACTTGAATTATTTCTCCCAGAACTCCCATGTATGGAGGGATCTAGGGGGAGGTAATTGAATCATGGCGGACAGTCTTTCCCCTGCTATTCTTGTGAAAGTGAATAAGTCTCACGAGATCTGAAGGGTTTATCAGGGGATTCTGCATTTGCTTCTTCCTCATGTTCTCTTGCTGCTGCCACGTAAGAAGTGCCTTTTGCTTCCCGCCGTGATTCTGAGGCCTCTCCAGCCATGTGGAACTGTAAATCCAATTAAACCTCCTCTTCTTCCCGGTCTCGTGTGTGTCTTTATCAGCAGCATGAAAACGGTGCTATTTTCATGAGCACTGCTTTATTCACACTTTCTTGGATAGCAAACTTTAATAATGATATGTGATTTTAACAGCCAAACAGTTCAAATTTGTAATATAACCTGGGATAATTCTACCAAACTACCACTACGAAGAATTTCATTCATCATCAATACATTTAAAACTGCCCAGATGCAGAAAAGGACTTTGACAAAATTCAACAACCCTTCATGCTAAAAACTCTCAATAAATTAGGTATTGATGGGACGTATCTCAAAATAATAAGAGCTATCTATGACAAACCCACAGCCAATATTATACTGCATGGGCAAAAACTGGAAGCATTCCCTTTGAAAACTGGCACAAGACAGGGATGCCCTCTCTCACCACTCCTGTTCAACATAGTGTTGGAAGTTCTGGCCAGGGCAATCAGGCAGGAGAAGGAAATAAAGGGTATTCAATTAGGAAAAGAGGAAGTCAAACTGTCCCTGTTTGCAGACAACATGATTGTATATCTAGAAAACCGCATCGTCACAGCCCAAAATCTCCTTAAGCGGATAGGCAACTTCAGCAAAGTCTCAGGATACAAAATCAATGTGCAAAAATCACAAGCATTCTTATACACCAATAACAGACAAACAGAGAGCCAAATCATGAGTGAACTCCCATTCACAATTGCTTCAAAGGGAATAAAATACCTAGGAATCCAACTTACAAGGGACGTGAAGGACCTCTTCAAGGAGAACTACAAACCACTGCTCAATGAAATAAAAGAGGATACAAACAAATGGAGGAACATTCCATGCTCATGGGTAGGAGGAATCAATATCGTGAACATGGCCATACTGCCCAAGGTAATTTATAGATTCAATGCCATCCCCATCAAGCTACCAATAACTTTCTTCACAGAATTGGAAAAAACTAAAGTTCATATGGAACCAAAAAAGGGCCTGCATTGCCAAGTCAATCCTAAGCCAAAAGAACAAAGCTGGAGGCATCACACTATTTGACTTCAAACTATACTACAAGGCTACAGTAACCAAAACAGCATGGTACTGGTACCAAAACAAGATACAGACCAATGGAATAGAACAGAGCCCTCAGAAATAATGCTGCATATCTACAACTATCTGATCTTTGACAAACCTGAGAAAAACAAGAAATGGGGAAAGGATTCCCTATTTAATAAATGGTGCTGGGAAAACTGGCTAGCCTTATGTAGAAAGCTGAAACTAGATCCTTTCCTTACACCTTAGACAAAAATTCATTCAAGATGGATTAAAGACTTAAATGTTAGACCTAAAACCCTAAAAACCCTAGAAGAAAACCTGTGCAATACCATTCAGGACATAGGCATGGGCAAGGACTTCATGTCTAAAACACCAAAAGCAATGGCAACAAAAGTCAAAATTGACAAATGGGATCTAATTAAGCTAAGGAGCTTCTGCACAGCAAAAGAAACTACCATCACAGTGAACAGGCAACCTACAGAATGGGAGAAAATTTTTGCAATCTACTCATCTGAAAAAGGGCTAATATCCAGAATCTACACTGAACTCAAACAAGTTTACAAGAAAAAATCAAACAACCCCATCAAAAAGTGGGCAAAGGATGTGAACAGACACTTCTCAAAAGAAGACATTTATGCAGCCAAAAGACACATGAAAAAATGCTCATCATCACTGGCCATCAGAGAAATGCAAATCAAAACCACAATGAGATACCATCTCACACCAGTTAAAATGACAATCATTAAAAAGTCAGGAAACAACAGTGCTGGAGAGGATGTGGAGATATAGGAACACTTTTACACTGTTGGTGGGACTGTAAACTAGTTCAACCATTGTGGAAGTCAGTGTGGTGATTCCTCTGGGATCTAGAACTAGAAATACCATTTGACCCAGCCATCCCATTACTGGGTGTATACCAAAAGGATTATAAATCATGCTGCTGTAAAGACACATGCACGCATATGTTTATTGTGGCAGTATTCACAATAGCAAAGACTTGGAACCAACCCAAATGTCCAACAATGATAGACTGGATTAAGAAAATGTGGCACATATACACCATGGAATACTATGCAGCCATAAAAAAGGATGAGTTCATGTCCTTTGTAGGGACATGGATGAAGCTGGAAACCATCATTCTCAGCAAACTATCTCAAGGACAAAAAACCAAACACTGCATGTTCTGACTCATAGGTGGGAATTGAACAATGAGAACACATGGACACAGGAAGGGAAACATCAGACACTGGGGCCTGTTGTGGGGTGGGGGGAAGGGGGAGGGATAGCATTAGGAGATATACCTAAGGTTAAATGATAGTTAATGGGTGCAGCACACCAACATGGCACATGTATACATATGTAACTAACCTGCACTTTGTGCATATGTACCCTAAAACTTAAAAAAAAAAAAAAAAAAAAAACTGCCCAAATGAGGCCAGGCATGGTGGCTCACGCCTGTAATCCCAGCACTTTGGGAGGCCAAGGCAGGAGGATCATAAGGTCAGGAGATCGAGACCATCCTGGCTAACATGGTGAAACCCCGTCTCTACTAAATATACAAAAAATTAGCCGGGCATGGTGGCGGATGCCTGTAGTCCCAGCTACTTGAGAGGCTGAGGCAGGAGAATGGCATGAACCCAGAGGCGGAGCTTGCAGTGAGCCAAGATCGCGCCACTGCACTCCAGCCTAGGCAACACAGCGAGACTCCGTCTCAAAAAAAAAAAAAAAAAAGAAAAAGAAAAAAACAGAAAGAAAAATAATTAGGGAAGCATTATGCTACACGCAGGCAAATAGATTTCTCTGTTACAATACTTTCCCCAGGCTTTTCATGATAAGTAGCATAATGAATATCCAAAAACACAGAGGTTATATTGAATTTTTATGGCATGTCTTTGCTATTAGGCGGCTGTGTTCCTAAAACAAACGTCACATGTTTGGCGTTTCTCCCTATCCCTATTATCCAGGATTTACTGACATTATTTAGGTACACAGTTAGCCAGCAATATCCTGAAGCTATCTGAAATCCACAAAGCATTGTATGAATCATGGCCATGATGTAAATAAAACAATATCTTAAACTCTAAGTGAAAATATTCTTCTCAAAAAGTAAAGCAAAAATATTTCAGAATCATAAGCTCAGAGGATAAGTTTAGAATTCCTGGTTTGTTTTTTTTGTAAATTTGCTTGAGTTCTTTGTAGGTTCTGTATATTAGCCCTTTGTCAGATGGGTAGATTGCAAAAGTTTTCTCCCATTGACAGACAACCAAATACCTCATGTTCTCACTCATAGGTGGGAGTTGAACAATGAGAACACTTGGACACAGGGTGGGGAACATCACACACTGGGGCCTGACCGGTGGTGCGGGTTGGGGGAGGGATAGCATTAGGAGAAATACCTAATGTAGATGACAAGTTGATGGGTGCAGCAAACCAACATGACACATGTATACCTATGTAACAAACCTGCACATTATGCACATGTACTCTAGAACTTAACGTTTAATAATAAAAAAAAGAATTCCTGGTTTTAAGAAGGTCACATTAAATGAGTGACAAAGAGAAGTTTTCAGTGATCGAAGTGGCAAGTTTAGGTGCATTCTACACTACGAAAGGAACAAAGAACATTAGTATAATTTTAAAAAATCTTTAATTATATTTGAGACCAAAATAATATTGAATTTTTAAATATAGGCTACAGTACTACTCTTTTCCCAAATTTATCTTGACACAGTTATTTTTCATACAAAATATTATCACACTGTGCTGTTTTTTAACATTACAAGAATAGAAGCAAATATCATTCCATGTTAGAAGAGATTCAGGATGATGATTTTTAGTATTTAGTGACTATAATCGTTCAAGGAAATTTTTTATGCAATTTGAAAAATAGTCATTTTGTTTCATTTCACTGACTCCACAAATTACACAAAAAAGTGTAAGTGTTAAAACGTTCATGTATGAAGAAGTCATGTATTCTTCAAAGTTCATTTTTGAATGAATGAAGATGTAGGAAAGAAAGGGAGGGAAGGAGAGAACGAAAAAGGCAGGATGATAGCAGACAAGGGAAAGGTAGGAGAGACAGAGATTGAGAGAAGGGAAGGAGAGAGGGAAGCAGAGAGACACAGCAGGGGAGAGAGAGGGGAAGAGAGTGAGAAAGAGAAAGTGTGTGACAAAGAGGGCGAAAGGAAGAGAGCACAGAGGGAGGAAGGGAGAGAGAAAGAGAAAAAGTTTATGGTTTTATGGTTGGATCTTATTGCATGCTCTTGGTGTCTCAATTTCTGTTCAAAAGTCAGTGGGCAGTTGGCCACAGATGGCTGTTATTCATCACATCTTTAACCAGGGAACAGAAAGCAGAATTGTTTTGGAGGAGATGTGGGAGGATAAACGAATGATCTGAGGAAGGAAGCAGGAAACTCTAGGCACTAACAAACAGAAGTCTGTACTTCAGAGAGAAAAGCACAGATACATAGTTTAAATCCTCACAGGGCTTATAAGTCAGAGAATGGAACAACAGCTTCAGAGCCTGTAGTGTCCAACATTCTACCCTCAACTCAAAGGTATATGCATAGGCACAAGGTAAGGAACCACCAATGATTAAAGCTGTCAATTAGAATAATCAAAAAGAGCAGAGCACTTGGTCAATTCCAGAAAAGCCACAGTAATGAGTGAGGACAAAATTAGTATCTATGACAGACCAGTGACTATAGACTTAACTGAACTTTATTATAGGGAGGCCGAAGTTTTTGAGTGATATCATCCTACCCTGAAGTACAACAGCTGTAGGAGAAAGAAAAACAAAACAAAAGTAACCCAGACATCTCTCTTCTTTCCAGGTTATTAGCTTAAAACCTGAAGAATCTGCATACTTAGCACCTGAAATTTCTCCAAGGAGCCAAAGTTAAGCATATCTATGTGCTATTGAGAGATACAAAGAAATAGACATTTTAGACCCTTGGGCCCAAATCTAGTATACTTCATCTTTAAGGAAAAAACTTCGATAACCCTAAGAAAGGGGCAAGGGAATGGTTTAAGTCCTTACTTGGTCATACAGTTGTTGACTGAAATAGTGATCAGCTCACGGGCAAAATCCTTTCTATACACGGTTGCTACCTGAACAGTGTGGTCAGAGATTTAGTAACATATCAATTACGTTTCAGAAAAATCACATCAAGACAAAGAACTCTCCCCCCCTCTGTGTTCCTTTGTTTAACTAGATCATATAATTTCCAGAAAACAAAGAACTTTTGACTTTGCTCATCAGGCTCTTATGGTATCACTCAGGCAACATCCCTTGGGGATGGAAAGTATATGATATAATGTCTTTTAGCAAAATTGTCGCAAAATTTACCTCGTGTAATATACTACTTTGGGGCATTTAAAGAAGTCTATTCTTGTTCTTTCTCTGCCATTTTCAAATTGTGATAAATGTAAACAACACTCATTTCTTGTTTTCATCTTTTGAGTTCCACAGACCTTTCTCACTGAGCAAGACTGTTATTGCAGACATGGGCCTGGGCTTGTTATTTAGTCATGACTAAGTTTTAAATCATCATACACTGGAGCCAGTGAACTTTGGCTTTGTGTACATAGAAAGAAGGAGAGAAGAAAAGAAAAAAGAAGGAAAGGAAGGAAAAAAGAGAAAGAAACAAGGAAGGAACGGAGGGAAGGGGAGGAGGAGAGGGAAGGGAAGGGAAGAAGAAAAGAAAGGAAATAAGAAAAGGAATGGTGGTTCACGCCTGTAATCTCAGCACTTTCGGAGGCCAAGGTGGGCAGATCACCTGAGGTCAGGAGTTCGAGACCAGCCTGGCCAACATGGTGAAACCCTGTCTCTATTAAAAATACAAAACATTAGCCAGGCGTGGTGGTGGGTGCCTGTAAACCCAGCTACTTGGGAGGCTGAGGCAGAAGAATCGCTTGAACCCGGGAGGCGGAAGTTGCAGTGAGCTGAGATCGCGCCATTGTACTTCAGCCTGGGTAACAAAAGTGAAACTCCATCTCAAAAAAAAAAAGAAGGAAGGAATGAAAGACAACGGAAGAAGGAAGGGAAGAAGGGTGGAAGTAAAGAAGAAAAGAAAGGAAAATCTAGTACTCAATTCTTATGTTTCTTGTGATTTTTAAAAATTTCTCTAAACTTTCCCTGTGTGTAGAGCTCTAAAGCCTTCATTGCATTAGCTAACATGTATGCTATGAGTCTCCATTTATTAACAGCTTGTTTTCCAAATGTTGATTTTTGGAATGAGAATATAGTTAATTTTTCTATGGTTACAAAATGTTTACCTTGGCAGTCTACTCATTTCCCTTACTGAGATTAAAATATATGCTGATTTTTACTAAATATTTTTTGTGTGTTCACTGTTAATATTACATAATTCTTATATTTTCTTATTAAGGCATACGATTTATGACACTAACCTTTTGCGTGACATTGAGTAATACCTATTTGGCATGAACCAGGTTTTGTTCAGGCAAATATGTGGCTGTGGGGACTTGCTTTGCCACACATTATCAAATATTTTATTGTTATTAACCAGATTCACTCAGCTAGTAAGTAAGGAAGATGGGATTTTTGTTCAGCCTCTCTGCCTCTAGAGCTTTGTACTTATCTACATCTCAATACTATTTTAGAAAAGAAAAAAACGTTCATTAGATATTAGGTCTTTAGTTCTTCTAGGTAATAAACGTTATAATAAAATATTTCTGAAAAGATTTTGTCAGCTTGGGTTTACAAAGAGGGTAGGTGAAGATTAAATGTACAAGATCATATAAGAAAACATTTTTCTAATATTTGCTTCTATGCTGGAGTATGAGGTGTTATTAGTGTTGTTCTTTATTTTTATTGTTTGTTCTTTGTGTTTTTTTTCCTACCAGATTAGCTAAATTAGTTTTCCTGAGTTTTTGAGACTGTTTTGCAAACTGTTCTCAAACATAAAAATACCCTGTCTCTAAATTTAACATTTTTAGGAAACAAATATGCCCATTCAATGAGGCTCTGAAAAATTTAGGATGGCGTGTGTGTGAAAATCCTCCTGAAATCTGTCCACAGTACAACAAAATCTCTGAAACACCCAAGGCCTAGAATATTTGGAAGCATGGATAACTAAATGTTAATGACTTTACTATGCTGAAGAGTATAATTTTTGAGTGTACTATAACTCATCTTGGAAACTACTTGTAGTCAAGTTGGGCAACATCGGTGATTATGGCTGGGAAAGCGTCTCTCCAGGTGACTCACTGCCATTTGTTCTGTTCATGGGATGTCCCTGTGCGTATCTGCTTACACTCACATGGAAAAAAGGTTGGGAATGAATCATGAAACCCTGGAATAGAAGTATATATTCGAGCAATAGTCATGGGATTTCCCAGGACTGAAAGAATATCTTCTTTGCTGTATCTTTTAAAATTTCTTCTTCTTCTTCTTCTTCTTCTTTTTTTTTTTTGAGACAGGGTCTCGCTCTGTCACCCAGGCTGGAGTGCAGTGGTGCAATCTTGGCCCACTGCAACCTCCACCTCCTGGTTCAAGTGATCCTCCTGCCTCAACCTCTCAAGTAGCTGGGACTACAGGTGTGCGCCACCACACCCGGCTAATTTTTGTATTTTTAGTAGAGATGAGATTTTGCCATGTTGGCCAGGCTGATCTCAAACTCCTGACCTCAGGTGATCCACCTCAGCTTCCCAAAGTGCTGGGATTACAGGCGTGAGCCACCGCACCCAGCCTCCTAAAATTTCTTTTAAGAATAGTGTCTACATTATCCTTTTTAAAATTAATTCCATGTTTCTCCTTTCTCCATAGTGTTCAGTGCTTAATTTTGCCTTTTAATTTCAGAAAGAATCTTTTAGAACAGTTTTTGCACAGATTAGGTCATTTCTAATATACGGCCACAAATGTGTTATACACTAGCAGATTTCACAGATGTATTATACACTAGCAGATTTCACAGCAAGGAAACACCAGTTTTCGGGATCATTTTCTGGCAGTTTCAGGAGGTTTTGGAGCATCTGTTCTTTCCCGCTATGGGTTTTTTTAGACATTTTTGTTTAGAGAACAGGAGAAACTCTGTCAGCTGATGCCTGTTTTCAGGCATTTCATGGATTACTGAAAAAAACAATTTAATGAGCATATTATATACCTTACAAGCCACAATCATTCCAGAGGTTAACCTTATGAAGCAATTAAGAAAAATCATCCTAGTATTGTGAAACGACCTAGATTCAAAGATCGCTGGGCTTGACAAAGACCCTTTTTATGTAGAAAGCTAAATATATTGTTGGACTTGAGTAAATAATAGTCTTTGGAGATGTGGAGATTGGCACACAGCTCAGCTGCCATAGAGTTGATATAATAGAGAGAAATGGAGGGAACATTTGTCTTTGAAACAAGAAGGAGGCAAGGTCATTTTGGAAAGTGTGGGGCAATATTTCCCAGCGTCAAATGAGGGATAATTACCTCTTTCAAAGAGGAGATTGTGTTATGTTTGTTTTAACCCAGAAAGTGCAATTTGCAAACTTTTATCTATTATGTACTGGCTATAGGATGCATCATTGGCAAACACAAGACAGGATTTAGGAACCTGACACAGGTGGAAAGAATCCTATTTCCCCATCATTCTCAGCAAACTATCGCAAGGACAAAAAACCAAACACTGCATGTTCTCACTCATAGGTGGGAATAGAACAATGAGAACACTTGGACACGGGAAGGGGAATATCACACACTGGGGCCTGTTGTGGGGTGGGGGGATGGGGGAGGGATAGCATTAGGAGATATAACTCATGTAAATGACAAGTTAATGGGTACAGCACACCAACATGGCACATCTGTACATATGTAACTAACCTGCACATTGTGCACATGTACCCTAAAACTTAAAGTATAATAAAAAAAATCCTGTGTTTCCATTTTGCATCTTGGTGGCAGGCTGTGATGCAATGTGAAGAAAAATCAAAATCTGTATCAAGAACACAGCAGTGGGGTTCTTATCTAATTGAGGAAAATTTTCAATTAGGTGATAGCTATAACTTTATAATACTAGATTACAGGCTTCCCCAACTCTGTATTATTGTGGCAGTCAGTTATAGTATGCACCATTAAAATTGCCAGTTTTTAGCTCCTTATTTAGTAAAATAAATCATTTTACTAAAATAAATCAAATTAAGTAAAATAAATCATTATTTAGTAAAATAAATTTATTGAGTAAAATAGATCATAATTATTTTAAAGAACCAAGGAGAGGCCAGGCATGGTGGCCTGGGTGGTAATCACAGCACTTTGGGGGGCTGAGGCAGGTGGATCACCTGAGGTCAGGAGTTCGAGACCAGTCTGGCCAACATGGTGAAACGCTGTCTCTACTAAAAATATAAAAATTAGCTGGGCATGGTGGCGGGTGACTGTAATCCTAGCTACTCAGGAAGCTGAGGCACGAGAATCACTTGAACCCGGAAGGTGGAGGTTTCAGTGAGCCAAGATAGTGCCACTGCACTCCAGCCTGGGCAACAGAGTGAGACTGTCTCAAAAAAAAAAAAAAAAAAAAAAAGGCCGAAGAGAAATTCTGCAGTTACACCTTTTTAAAATTAGGGGTAGTCAAACTTAGAAAGCTTATTTTGAAAACAATATTTGAATTTGAAAACTATATTTTTACTTGAAATTGTATTCTTTATTTTCTCAACTTTTTAATTTTGTTAGAATATAACTTAATGATATTTTGATGACTTCATATTTTAAGAGTGAAAAGTTTTCATGAATAAGTCTTGCAAAATTAACAGCCATCAACATAGTTCTCCAAATCAAATTGTCATCCCAATGAAAATAAAGATAGAGGCCAGGCGCGGTGGCTCATGCCTGTAATCCTAGCACTTCGGGAGGCCGAGGTGGGCGGATCAGGAGGTCAAGATATTGAGACTATCCTGGCCAACATGGTGAAACCCCGTTTCTACTAAAAATACAAAAATTAGCTGGGCATGGTGGCCTGTGCCTGTAGTCCCAGCTACTCTGGAGGCTGAGGCAGGAGAATCACTTGAAACCGGGAGGCAGAGGTTGCAGTGAGCCAAGATCGTGTCACTGCACTCCAGCCTGGTGATAGAGTGAGACTCCGTCTCAAAAAAAAAAAAAAAAAAAAAAAAAAAAAAAGAAAAAAAGAAAAAGGATAGATATAGGTCAAATTTTCTTAAGATAACAACGAAATAAAGTAAGAGTAAATATGTTTGAAAAAACAAAGATGTATAAAGGTCTTTTGCCTGGCTTAGACCACATTAAAGTCATTTATTGACTATTTAAAAAATTTTTTAACTGTTAATTTTTGTGTATACATAGTAGGTGTATATATTTATGAGGTACATGAGATATTTTGGTACAGGCATGCAATGCTTCTTAATCACATACTGGAAAATTGGGCGTCCATTCCCTCACGCATCTACCCTTTGTGTAATAGACAATCCAATTACACTCTTTTAGTTATTTTAAAATGTACAATTAAATTATTATTGACTGTAGTCTCCCTGTTGTGCTATGAAATAGTAGGTCTTATTCATTCTATTTTTTATACTCCTTAACCATCCCCACAGTCCCCCACCCTGATGTTACCCTTCCCAGCCTCTGGTAACCAGCCTCCTACACTCTATGTCCATGAATTCGATGGCTTTGATTTTCAGATCTGACAAATAAGTGAGAACATGTAATGCTTGTCTTTCTGTGCCTGGCTTATTTCACTTAACATAATAGCCTCCAGTTCCATCCATGTTGAAAATGACAGGATCACATTCTTTTTTTAAATGGCTGAATAGTACTCCATTGTGTATATGGGGCACATGTTCTTTATTCATTCATGTGTTGATGGACACTTAGGTTGCTTCCAAATCTTGATCATTGTGAACAGTGCTGCAACAAATATGGGATTGCAGATATCTGTTTGATACATTAATTTCTTTTTTTGGGAGGGTATATACCCAGCAGTAGGATTGCTGGATCATATGGTAGCTCTGTTTTTAGTTTTTTGAGGAACTTCCAAACTGTTCTCCATAGTGGTTGTACTAATTTCCATGAACACCAACAGAGTACGAGGGTTCTATTGGCTATTTTTTTAAATCAGACTTTATTGCCATTAAGTCTGGCTTGTTTTAGCTGCATTTGACATCCAATTTTATTTGAGAGATAGTCTTTTAAAATCTTATATAAAAGATGCAATAAAACTAGCAACATTTGAAGAGTTATCTAATGAAAAATATTTGTTAATTTAATAATTAAAATAAATAAAAATTATTTTATAATTATATATATCTTTATGAATATGCATTAAAATAAACATGTATAAAAACTAACATTTTTAAGAATTGTACTCAATCAGCTTATATCTATACTTGCCTATAGCTCCACTGACCTCAATAGTTACATCTATTGTATAAATTAAACATCACACAGTGAGAGTAAAAAAGTAACTCAATTTATGTTATCCTATCTATGGATAGAGGAGAGACTGAAACAATTTCTACTTTACATCAAAATATTCAGATAGCCTCATGCCCAAATCTATAATGAGATTGCTATAACTAAGAAGGTATTTACTTTTCAACCATTTGCTAAAGTGATAGGTACAAATAACTATCATAGAACTATCAGAAGAAAATAGAGTGGCTAATGGAAAGTATTGCTTTGTTTTCTGACTTGAGCTCCTTCAGTACATTATGATGATCTCAGATGGTCTTAGAATTAAAATATGTTTTTGCTGGTACCTCACATATAGCAAAAATATTAACCAAAACTTGCAATTTTGCTACCCCCCTGATTAATCCAAACCATGCTGATCTCACTTGATGAAATTTTTAGTTTCAGGGTTAGTTTAAGCATACAATCATACACGCTTGGTCATTTTGGGACTGTTGACTTTCCACGAGGGGATACTCTAACATCAAAATATTCTAACATGCCCTTGTTTGCTCAGCTACCTCCACAGCTGTGCTGGCTCTAATTTCCGGATGAGAATGGCCATGATATGAGTAATTGTAATTAAATAACAATAGTAGCTCACAGTTTCTTGTTGTTGTTGTTGTTTTAATCTTTCAGAATGAGTTCATAGTCACAACCTCACTTTTTCCTCACAAAACCCTATCAGGCAATTTAATCCTCATTTTATAGAAGAAATGAGAAATAGGTAAGTGACTGGCCCAAGACAGAATGAGCATCTTCAGCATTTTCATCAGGATCAAAAAAATAAAATATTCTAAAAATATATAATTATTCTAAAAAATTCTAAAAATATATATTTACAAAATTAAAGAAGAATGTAATGTAATGATATATAAGCAAGCATTAAGAAGACTAAAGATTCATTTTATCAAAAAATTAATAAAGCGGCAAGTCATTTATAGATATTCCTTAGGAGGTGTTTTTGGTAATAATTATTAAAATAGAGAAATTCATTAGATGTTTACTAAAAGAATAAGATGGCCCAGGATATATATATATATGTGTATATATATATATATATATGTGTATATATATATGTATATATATACATATATATATGTATATATATACATATATATGTATATATATACATATATATATGTATATATATATACATATATATATATGTATATATATACATATATATATATATATATTTTTTTTTTTTTTTTTTCAGATAGAAATGTTTACTGAGACTAAGTTGAGCAGCCAATTCATTTGTCTGGCTTAAGGAAGCAATCTCTCATTGGAAATCTCATGACTATCCTCAAAAGAATTTATAGAAATGACTTTAGCCTGGCTAGGTTTTCTTTTATTCAACGTCCTGTAATTTGAAACTCAATAGTACTTTGTTATAATTGTAGAACTACTATTTTACAGTTAAATTTCATTATAACGATGTCTTCTTTATGAGTTGCTACTATATGTATTAGGATGTAAATGTTTCTGATTTATGCATATTGTTTAAGTAAATAAATGTATTTGAAGTTGTAAAACAGAAATGCCTTCTTCATGTCCACTCAACTGACAATTAAAATGAGAATATACTGTGAAACCTTCCTCAGAGTGTTAACTTATCTTACTATATGTGCCAAGGCTGTAAATCCTTCTCATGGTTAAATGGCAAAATTCGCATGTTTTAATTGCCACTGTACTGGGATTCCTTGAATATGGCATTAAAAAGAAAAAGAGTGTAGTTAAAAAGGCCAGAATTATTTTTTGGACTACGTGCAATTTGGCTTGTTCATGTAGTTACAAAAAACAAATGTTTGTCCAACAAAATGCTGAGAATCATGTCTCCTGGGAAACTTATACAAGGTCATAGTTTCATGAGCATTAAAAAAAAATCTTGTAAAGAAAACCAGCATGAAATATGAGAAAATGAAGAAGCAGTTGGAAAAAAATTGATTTTCTTGGTTGAAACATCTCTTAGGGGAAAAAAAAAGTTCCTGTCTTCCTAAAATACTATAATTCATATATAAAACATATTCACAAAGTACATTATTTTCTTAAAAGATCATTTCCATGAAGTTCCTAACAAGGCAAAAAGTAATATTTAAATTTCAACAATACTGCAGAGAAAGAAGGAGTTAGACTTGGAACAAATGTGCCTGATGGGTACATAATAAAGAAGGAGGTATACAAGAGTTTCTTGTTTAGTTTTTTCTCTTCAGAGATAGGGTCTTGCTCTGTCATCCAGGCTGGACTGCAGTGGTGTGATCATAGCTTACTGCAACGTCGACCTCTGGGCTCAAGTGATCATCCTGCCTCAGCTGGCCAAGTAGCTGGAACTATAGGTATGAGTCACCATGCCTAGCTAATTTTTTAATTTTTGTAGAGACAGCGTCTCCTTATGTTGCCCAGGCTGGTCTCAAACTCCTGTCCTCAAGTGATCCTCCTGCTTTGGCCTCTCAAAGCACTGGGATTAGGGTGTGAGCCATTGTGCCTGGCCAAGAGTTTTGTAATATTTGTAGAGCATGCAGTATTGGGACCATTTGTTGTGGGGTATATAGGTGGTAAAGATTTTGGAGATAGATAAGCATGTTTGGGACTTCTTTGAAATCTGAGATCTAGTTTTTTTTTGTTGTTCACTGAATCTCCATGTGCCAAGTGCCTGATACACGGTAGACTTGCAACAAATGTTTGTTGAATGATTTAATGAGTAAATAAATTAGTTAGATAAGAGGTGTGAAATGACTCCATTGTTCATAACTCACACTTTTCATATAAATCAAACAAAATGATTCTTTTTTATTTATTAAAGCAAATATTACAAATGAATTGAAAATATTTGCCTTTGATAAAGGGAAAAAGGTAACATCATTTAAGCAGACTCTTACATGTACAGATGCACACAATTGTATATCCATTGCACACAATTGCCTACACAGAAACATCCTTGGCCGGTCTGTTAAAATGCATGTGTTAGATTGTACACTTCCTCTCCTCAAAGCACTCCAAGTGTCCCATGACATTCAGAACAGGAGCCAAAGATTCTCCAAAGCCTAATGTCGCTGCAGCTGGCTCATCTCGTGGCCTTAACTCCTCCAGACTTCATCTACCTCCCTCTGCTCCAGACACACCTGCATCCCCAGCTTCCATCTCAAGCATCTCCTGCAAGCTATTCGGGAAGACTCTACAGCTCCTTCACCCCCATCTGGAAAACTGGCTCTCTCCCTTATCTCTTTCAGTCTTTTCTCCAAAATCACCTTCTCAGTGAATTCTTCTCTGGCCACCCTGTGCCTAAAATTAGTTTTTCTCTTTTCAACAGTTGTCATTTCACTTAATAGTTGTCATTTCAGTCAAGTTGCATCTTATAAAAATTCGAGGATAGGCAAGGTGGCTCATGCATGTAATCCCAGCACTTTGAGAGGCCAAGGCTGGAGGAGCACTTGAACCCAGAGATTGAAGTCTGCAATGAGCTATGACCATGCCACTGCACTCTGGCCTGGGCAACAGCAGAGTAAGACCCTACGTCTCAAAAAATAAATAAATACAAGAAAAATAAATACAAATATGGAACTGAAACAATGTAGATAACAAAGTTCAGTCTGAAAGCCCCAAATTTGTGTTAATTTTGTTGATTCATTCATTTGTTCATTTGCTAATTCAACAAGTGTTGTCTTCCAAAGAGTGTTCTAAAGAATTAAAAAGCTTTGTGTCAAAGGGGAAAAGCATCATTTCTTTTCGAGATTTGCAGCAGAGTTTCCCGTAACAGCAAAATCTTAGATTAGGGCTTCTTACTCTGGGGTCCATGGATCCCTAATAACTTCAGTTTAGTTTCTAAACATTTTGGCCTTTGCATCTATAGATGGTTACTGAATGTTGCATTGCTGTATGATTTCTCTGTATTCTGCCCTTTTTCTTCTCAATTATTTTTGCTTTCACAATCAGCATCACAGAGTGTTGGATACCAGCCAATAGTTTCATATGTGAAAGTTTTTTTGCCTTGCCTATATTGCCCTTGAAAGCAGGAATTATGTGCTACATTTCTTTCTTGTGGGAGTTGACAGGTAGTAGATCTCCAATAACATACTTCTACTTCCTTTTTTATTTTTTTTTTTATTTTTATTTTTTGAGACAGCATCTCACTCTGTCACCCAGAGTGGAGCGCAGGGCTGGATCCCAGCTCCCTGCAACTCCTGCCTCCCAGGCTCAAGCAATTCTCCTGCCTCAGCTTCCTGAGTAGCTGGGATTATAGGCTTGCTCCACTATGCCTGGGTAATTTTTGTATTTTTAGTAGAGATGGGGTTTCACCATGTGGGCCAGGCTGGTTTTGAACTCCTGACTTCAAATGATCCACCTGCCTCAGCTTCCCAAAGTGCTGGGATTACAGGCATGAGCCACCGTGCCCCCCTCCATAATATACTGCTTTGCAGGGCCTTTGGTTTGAATGCTGAGATCAGCTCCAAAGACAAATTCTACTACCATTGACTTAGCTGTGATTATAGTACTCTTTCCAGGTGCTGACAAAGACTGGTGCAGCTGTATATCAAGCTGGAGAAAATCAATTAAATCGGCAGGGTTATCAATGTGGTCAAATGGTGCCCTCTTATTTTGTAGTTGTCATCACTGGAAACGTCCAGTTGTAGAACACAACCTTCATTACCACTTAGATAATCTGTATTACATTGACAAATTGGATTTAAAAATCTTTGTTTTTGATTCAATTCTATTTCCCTGGGTCGGCCTTTTGGTTGCACTTAGTATTTTTCTCAAATGTGTCTGTCTTTGTCAGAATATTGCGAACTTTCCCTAAATCTAGCCCTATACCGTGCTCACAATGAGTGTTTGACAAATGTCTACTGAATGGAAGAATGAAGACAAATTATTTTAAAAGCCACTGTCTATTTTGTTGAATTATATAAAATATGATTCTGTTTAGTAAATGTTACTATATAGTATAAAATATGCTCCTGTCATGCTATGTTATATTATTGGTAATGCCTGGAAAATTCTTAGAAACAAAATCAAAAGAGATAAAGTTAGATGATGTTGCTGGGCACGGTGGCTCATGCCTGTAATCCCAGCACTTTGAGAGGCCGAGGCAGGCAGATCATGAGGTCAAGAAATCAAGACCATCCTGGCCAACATGGTGAAACCCTGTCTCTACCAAAACTACAAAAATTAGCCGGGTGTGGTGATGTGTGCCTGTAGCCCGAGCTACTCGGGAGGCTGAGGCAGGAGAATGATGTGAACCTGGGAGGCGGAGCTTGCAGTGAGCCGAGATCGCGCCACTGCACTCCAGCCTGGGTGACAGAGCAAGACTCCATCTCAAAAAAAAAAAAAAAAAAAAAAAAAGAAATAAAAACAGTACACACAATCCCTTCTTTGGAGTCAGGTGGTTTAGTTCAATGATGCAATTTAGCAGCCCTGATTCCCGATGATCCCTGCCCCACCAAGGTAGCATCAAATTTTTGCTTGCGTAGAAGGAAGAAAAACATGAATTTCTTAAACCTTTACTTTTTGCCTCTGTATTATGGTAGTGTGGGAATAGCTGAAAAGAGAAGTTATTTATCATTGATCCAAATTCCTGTCATTTATTATCTTTTTTGAAATACTTTATTAAAGTATAGAATAGGTTCAAGAAGGACCAACACAGACCACGAAGTTGGACAGTAAATTAATAATTGAAAAACTGAGAGTATGTGAAAATTAAAGGCTCTCAGTGCTAGAATCTAAAGCAATCAGTACGGAATCCATTTTATAAAAGAAAGTAGAAAGAGTCTAGACACTATAGAACACAATGTTTAAGTCATACATGAACTTTAACAGACAAATTATCTGAGATAAAAATTTTTAATTCTAGCCAAAATTTGAGTGTTATGTTTATTACCATTAGTTGTGTAACTTTGATGGAGCAATTTTGGCAAGATCCATAATTTTAGAGTTGGAAGAAACTTTAACCTTGCTCCATAAATAAGAGCACAAAAAATGAGGTGACTTTCCCAGAATTAAACTGAGTAAGAATTAGAGCACAGAATTCTTAACTCCCAGCCCATTGATATTTCTACTAATTGAAGTTTTGATTTTTTTGGAGCCTTGGTAAGATACAGTCAGCAAAATGTTCTAACATAGAGTGAGCTCATTAAGTAATTCCCTTGTTATTTGAAATGCTAAGTTGGCATTTGAAAAAACTCCAAAATAATACTTTGCTCTCTGTTACCACAGAGATCACACTGTGCAATGTCTAAAAACAGTCATCTGATAGTAAGTCACTACTACAATTATGAAATCACAAATGTTGCTGTCACTTCGTATGTCAGTAGGTGAAAATACTTCAAATAACCTTTTGAAATAAGGGCTAAATCCATAATTATGATTTCTTTCCCTCAAAGCAGATTTGGGGACACTGTCACTACTGTCCTACCTCCATATGTGTAATATAAAATAATCTAAAAAACCAAGCCCACAGTCTTTCTTCATTTGGAAAAAAAAAAAGATGCGCTTATGACTATTGTTAAAAATCTTAAAAAGTTTACTTACTCTTGATTTGGAAATTAGTTATGCACAATAGCATATGAAAGATAAATCCTCATGTGATATAAACAGCATTTTTTGTAGATTAAAGTCCAACTCACTAACCAGCTAAAAATTTTGATTCAATTCTATGACCACACATCAATCTATTTCTTGCATCCAGCTAATGAATAATATTTAATAATGAAATATGATTTTTAAATAACCTAATGAACCATAGTTTGATTTTCTAAAAGCAGCACTTCTAAAAATTCTCTTGAACTTTTAGAGAACTGCTAAAAATTAGTTCTCTTGAAAGTTCCTTTTTTTCTTAATCTCTAGAGAATTTCTAAGCTCTGTGAAGTTCTGTGTTTTTCTGATTTCTTCCTTTCCCTCCCCCTCTTTCATTCTGTGTCTTTTTTCTCTTTCTCTGGGACAGGAAGTGGAGGGTGTTGACCTTCTCTGGATCTATCCCAATGTCAGAAGGTGGTCTTTTCAAAAAGATTCCAAGCCATGGCTTTCTTCCTGATTTTATTTTTCAGATAATTGTGTCAATAAATAAGTTGTGAAAGAAAGGTTTTTTCCCTCTCCTTCCTCGTAGCTGTATAATGACCAAGTAACTCTTTTGAGCATAATTACCAGGCTTTTCAGTTTTTCTCTTAGAGAAATAAGTATTGTCTCTCTGTTCATTGGAACTGCGCTGTGTTCCAATGGGGGCAGGGGCTGGGAGTGCACAGTGGTGAGCCCTGGGCCCCAGGACCCCCAGTTCTGCCACTCCAGCATGGTCTATGCTAATTCTCTGGCCAACTTCTCCCGCACAGCCAAGTTCCAGAAGGGCTGCTGTTATGATTTCCCTTTCCCATCCGGTCTAAATAGTGACCCCTTTGATTTTTAGAAAAAAAAGGAAATGTTATGGAAAAACTGCTTCCTGTGAATAAGCATAATAAAACTTGAAGAATACAAATGCCACATAACACACGCTATAAAAAGGTTTCTGTGCACAACTCTTTTTATAATTTTATGAGTAGGAGGGTGGCCTGGTGACACGCCCTCATCTCGCCCAATATCGCTTTGTGTGTATTGTGCCGGGAAGGACCTCCTGGTTCTTCTCTGCCTGTGTCTGAAGCTACCCACCCTTCAGTTCAATTGAATTATTTCATCTTGCCCCCTCTGAAACTTCCCCAAGTGATTCTGCTCACTGCTGCAGGACTGGCATCTAAGGCAGTGTTAGGAACTCAATAAAGCTCTCGATCAAGAATGGTTGAGCACATGAGCACATGAATCCTTACCTGATATGTCTTATCCTGATGTGTATTGTCTGTATCATTTGGGGGATTCTAAAATACACTGCTTGTCCTCATTGGAAAAGGCCCATCTCTCTGATTGCCTCACAGCATTTAAAAGACTATGTTTCTCCTCTGCATACAAATTTTCATCTCCCATGGCTCCTTGCAAAATGTCTTCCTTTTTTATAACAGCTCCATGAACATTGACTGTCTTACTAAAAGACTTCTGTACAGATTCACCGTAAGCTCACTGCACGTGTTCTGGGCGTTCATTCATTCAGTCATCATAAAAGATATTTAGACCTGATTGTGTGTGGGCTTTGCAAAGGCAAATAAAAATCCATCTCCATCCTGGAATATCTCCTAGGGTAGGATCAAAGTAAGGAAGCATTTACAGTCCAAGGCAACAAGTGTCACCCTAAAGGGTATGAGAGTGAAGCTGTGGTAGTAGAGGGTTCCAGGAAAGGACAAGAGAAAAGACAAGGAGATACTCTGGGGGGAAATGATGGTGTGGATCAAAATAAAGGGACGCAGATAGACACTTCTGCTGATCTTTCCTGATGGCAGACTCCTGCCTTTGCAAGGGTAAAAGGAGTTACTACACATGTGGGGCTTACGTCTGATATTACAGCCAGGCATTCTTAGGAATCGCAGTGCATGCAATAAGCGCCTGTGCTCTGTGCGTTGATTCTGGAAACAGTTTTCTTTCCTCTATGGAGTTACAGTGGCTTATTTCACAGTGTGAGGGGAAAAACAGGGTCCTGTGCGTGTAAAAATATATGTAGGGCTGGGTGCCAAGGCTCATCCCTGTAATCCCAGCGTTTTGGGAGGCCAAGGCAGGAGGTTCACTTGAGCCCAGGAATTTGAGATGAGCCTGGGCAACAGAGCAAGACCCTGTCTTTACAAAGAAATAAATTAGCTGGGCATGGTGGTGCACATCTGTGGTCCCAGTTACTCTAGAGGCTGAGGCAAAAGGTTTGCTTGAGCCCAGGAGTTCAAGGCTGCAGTGAGCTATGATGGTGCGAGTGCACCCCAGCCTGGCGGACAGAGCAAGAGCCTGTCTCAACAGCAATGACAGCAAAATATGTGTAGGAATAACATGATAATGAGGGAAGCTACCATGCCAGGGTATTTGTATCCCATACCAATGTGTCTTATGGAGATTTCTCCATTTCTTTACATGAAAATTTGGTATTTCAATCCACACAATATGTCTGAACATTTACAAACATGTACAGGAGCTTCCCTCCACCCCTTTATAAACATTAATGTATTTGCCTCTCCCTGCCTGACCCCTTCTGTCCTTGCCCTGCCAAGGGCAGGCCTCTGCCTTTAGGTGATAAACACTGTGGAGTCTATCAACTTCCATCAGACAAGATTTTTGTTGAGTTTATCTTCTGTAGTTTTTAATAATGATGATGATAGTTTTTGTCCTTTTCTGAGATATAAAATTATTATTGGTTTATTTATTTACTATTGGTTTATTATTATTTATTATTAGTTTCAAATTATGCTTGGTCCCAGGCCATGCCCATCCTCTCCGCAAAGTGTTCCATTCCCTCTGTCTTTTCTACAGGATAGGGAACAGATTCAATGACTTACCCACCCAGGATCTCACAGCTAAGTAGTGGCAGAGGGAGCCTCATCTCTCCTCTCTGATGCCGATGCTCTTCGTTACCCCGTACTATCTTCCTCATTGATAATTAAGTTAATACACACAGTATTTGAGGATGCAGCCTGTGACATGCTGTGTGATGCTTCTGTGGATCTACCAGCAACAATATTAGTGAGGTATTTATCTCTGGTCATATCTTGCTCCTCTCACCTCAGCAGTAGTGGAGAGAAAGCCCCGTTTTACGATCTTTCTTCTTGTTCCTCTCTGTTCCATCTTTGTATTACAAATGGGATGGGCACATTATAGGAATAGTAGGGGCAGAATGAGACTTCCTGTTGCTCACCTCCAGCCTTTTTCTAGGAGGACACAGAATTACCACTGCAAGGCCAGACGCCTCATGGTTCACCAAATATATTTTCAACTTATTTTGTACAAATTCTATCCAAACTCATTCAAGAAAATTTTTATTGAAAATTTACCAATTTTTTATTTGTCATTTTATCCTGTAGTGTCTAATAACATATGCCATATGACCCAAGGATGTCTGAAAACCCCTAAATCCACCTGGGAACTTTTCTTTTGTAACTTGGCTGACAATGTATCCTGAACAAGAGGAATAAAATACCATTACTATTCTTTTTTTTTTTTTTTTTTTGAGACGGAGTCTGGCTGGCTGGCGACAGCCCAGGCTGGAGTGCAGTGGCGCGATCTTGGCTCACTGCAAGCTCCGCCTCCCAGGTTCACGCCATTCTCCTGCCCCAGCCTCCCGAGTAGGTGGGACTACAGGTGTCCGCCACCACGCCCAGCTATTTTTTTTTGTATTTTTCAGTAGAGACAGGGTTTCACTGTGTTAGCCAGGATGGTCTCGATCTCCTGACTTCATGATCTGCCTGCCTCGGTCTCCCAAAGTGCTGGGATTACAGGCGTGAGCCACCGCGCCCGGCCTACTATTCTTATTCTTGGTAAATTGTTCTTATTGCAGATATGTCTGTTCTTTATATCTAAGTTAAACAGCTTTTGGAAAACAGAAGACATTCACCAGATTGGAATCAAGGTAACTACAAGGTAGTGAAGAGCTCACTCTCTTCCAGCAGTGTTTAAAAAAGAACGTTGAACGCATAGTGTATCAGTTGCTATAGCTACCCCTATGGTTTTATTGTTGCTTATGATGATGCATAGGTATCATTAGCACAAAGAATAAAAATAAATCAGAAGTAACTGGCCTTAAAACTTTGGAATCACAGGCAACATGCATCTGGCAATTTCAAACTGAAATATATTGACTATCCAACATAGCCTCTTACATAGTCTTAAAAAACAAACAAAAAACAAGCAAAGGTAGTTTATGAGCTGGTTTTATTTATTTATTTATTTTATTTTTTTATCTGGTTGCCGGCATTTAGGGAACTACACAACAGACTTACCTATCATAGTAACTAGGTGTGACTGAATATCTGTCAGATTTGCAGTTCTTGTGGGAATATGATTACTGAAATTTGTATCTCGATCATGATCAAGTGTTTCAGATTCTATTAGCTGCAAAGGAGAATAATACTTGGGTGATTGTAACCTCTTTGCTGTAAGGTAACAGAGATTAATCATTGAAAGAGAATATTTTAAAAATAAGACCTGTTAGGACATGGAGTACTTTCTTCAGGTCTGATTTAAGGAATAAATATACCTAAAAGTCTGATACATATTCAGACTAACAGAATATTTCCTACGGTGTTTTTCCCATTGATTTCTTATGGATGTTTGTTCATGAAAAGGCTTTACTTGTGTTTACCTTTGAAATAGGCCTGTTGAATGTAGTGAATTTGGTAAAGATTTCTCATAAAATAGACACAAGAATTCTTTTGTGCTTGGTTTGCTCCAAATTGGGGCTAGTCACTTCTGGTCATGGGGAAAGGACGTTGTTCTAATAGCCACTCATAGTTATTATTTTTGGCTTATTATTCTCTGATGAGGAAACAGGAACCTGACTTTTTGCCGGATTCCCAGGACCTATGTCTTTAAAGACTGGGATTATCATCCTTCCCTAGAGAGTTTCTGTTAGGGAAAGAGGACCATCTGGGGAGAGAGTAAAAGTTCTTTTCAAGGGGACACGAAAGAGCTCAGAAAGAGCCAGAAGGAAAAATGGAGCTAACCTATTTCCTTGTCTGTAGCCCCAGGGATGAAATAAGTGAAGGAGATAAACTGAAATAAAAAGAAGAGAGAAAAAGATGAAATTTGAGCACAGTGAAAAGTTTTCCCAGAGTTAGGAAAGACTCAAGATATAGGCAAAATGCAAGAAAAAAATTGCAGGGCACATTGATGTGGGCTGAGGCCGGGGGAAACCAGCAGGGTTGTTGTTGGATTTCTTGGAGGACACAGAGAAACAAAGCTTCTTAAAACCCTGGGCTTTTTAGGCAGATGGATCTTTGTCTTCTTAATCTGGAGGGCTAGATGTGTGGTGAAGAAGGCCAAGTGCCCAGGGTCAGAGGTAATTGAGATTTACACAAAAGCAACAGTAGCTACTCTTTATTTCTTTCACTGACTGAATGCATTCATGTATCCTCTTGACCATGTGTTAGTTAGAATTATAAGTCATTATCCTTGCCTTTGAGCATTTGCAATCTAATTAGGAAACATAAATCTCAAAAATAACAATTTAAAGAACAGCAATAAAAAACTGCCTAAATCTTTATGGTTAAACGCAATCACATTTGTTATCACATTAAATGTTTCTCTTTTTTGCCTTTTAATACATCAGTTGATACACGAAACATATGTCCCATATATGTAAATTATAACCCATAATATTACAATGATCCCCTGTGAATCCACCCCCCGCCACCATGGAAATGGAAAATTACCAATGACTTCCATTTACCTTTGTGCTCCTCTCCTCTCCTGTCCCCACCTCCCTCAATGGAATAACCCTCCACTAATTTTTTTGGTTTTGTTTTTTATTACTTGCTTTTTTAAAAAATATAGAATTTTAAATTATATATATATATATATATTTATATATATATATATATATATATATTTATGCTTAAATAAGGTTTTAGTTAGTGCTGTTTTACAGCTATATAAATGTATAATACTTGGAAACTCACCCCATTACTGCCAGCAACATTACCACCACTACTACTACTATTTATATCAATATTATTTAAAAACAGGGACTCACTATGTTGCTCAGGCTGTTAGTAATCTCCTGGGCTGATCTTCCCACCTCAGCCTCCTGAGTAGCTTGAACTACAGGTGCATGCCACCATGCATAGCTCCCTGCAATGTTACTTTACAAAATTCTAGTGTTGTAGGTTGAATAAGTTAAGTGAGTTCATATCTGTATGATATGCCATTGTATTGATATGCTACAAAGTATTTGTCCATTCTGTTGTCCGTGGTCTTTTGGATTATTTCTAGTATTTAATTATTATGAGCAGTAATGCAATTAATATTCTTGTCCACCTTTCCTGGAGAACAAAATCGAGTGTTTCTAGGACACACTTCTAGGAGTGAAGTTCCTAATTTTTGGAGTATGTGAATGGTTACATTTAAGAGATAATGCCAAATTTTTTTCCTAATATTATTGTATCAGTTATATTGATACCTAGAATGTATAGGGAGTTCCTGTTGATCCTGACTCTGGCACTTGGTGTATTTGACATTTTAATTGTGCCAATCTAGAGAGAGTGAAATGGTACGTCACTATGACTTTAATTTGCATTTCTCTGATTTCAAGAGTTTGATATTCTTTTTATTTATTTATTGTCAATATGGGTTTCCTGTTCTATAAAATATCCATTTTTTTGCCCGTTCTTCTTCTGGGTTATTTGTATTTTTTTATTGTTTTAAAGGACATTCTCATTAGTATTTGAATACTATTCTTTGTTTCTAAATGTTGCTAATTTCTACTGTCATTTTATTTTAAAAAATTATTTCCTTATACTGTGTTTCTCTAAATAGATTTTCTAAATTTTAAGATATTCAAATATATCCATCTTTTCTAAGAAATAACTTTTTAGTATTCTTTCTATGTTATTTATGAACTCCTTACCATATGCCCCTCCAATGCCTCTCATTGGTTCTGTGAGAACCAATGTCCTGGTTCTCATACCAGAACCAGGGTTAGTTAGAATCAGGACTTTGTCACCCTTGACACAGTTTCCAGTTTCTACAACCTTCCATTTCCTCAAGGTGATCAATCCAGATACCTGCCTTTATACAGATTATACAACCACCTCCTGGTGACCTCCTCCCTAGGGGGCAGCTAGATGCAACCTACTTGACTCACCCCACTGATGTCCTCACTGGGCATAGACGGGGCAGATATACTGCAACGACAAGCACACAGCCACAATGTGACTCCACAGAGCTCACACCTGCTTGTTCTAAACCTACCAGTTAGAACCCCCATGGGAATCCTGCTTAGGTAACACCCCGGGCCCCAATAAAGGCCATCATCCACAGGTCACTTCCTCTCTCTCTTGCTACCTACCTGCTCGCTGAGCCTGCGTGTTCTGGACGCAATACCCCCACTTCCTGTTGGCCCTGCAAGGGTGCTGCCCTCTTTCTCTGTGATCTGTGAGTAATAAAACACTTCTGTTGTTTCATGTGTTTTGTTGAGTTGCCTCCTCTGTGTCTCACTTGACACACTCTAACCTAACTCTCCTCCTGGCCAGAGCTCTCCTACAGAGTCGCTATCTTGGTAGAAATAAAGAGAACACACGTTAGACAAGAGCCAGAAGAATATCTGCCAGTATCAACATTTCCTGTGGGAGAGATACCTGGTCACAGGTCAGATACTTAGATACTAGGCCGTCTACCTAATGAAGTATCCCATGGAGGCACCTTGTAAACATCCACAACCATCTTCCCTGGAGCCCCATCAGAGCAGGGCTAGAGTTTATTGCCACTGTACTAAGAGAAACTACGACACAAAATTAGAGGTAAAAAATATATCTCTTTCCTAACTGATCTTCCTGGATACCTTTATCATACACCAAAGTTCTATGTACATTAGATTTTTTCAGGCTTTATTTTTTAATCATTAAAAACTCAAACTTGCTGGAAATTAGAGAAATGCAAATTAAAGTCATAATGAGGTACCGTTTTACACCCTGTAGACTGGCAATAACTGAAAAGTCTAATACATCAAATGTCAGAGTCAGTTAACAGTGGTTGTCTACTATTTCACAAAAAAAAAACCCCTCCACGTTATTGACTCTATATGTGAGTATGACATATCCCTCTACTTATTTTAGATCTTCTTTAATATGTTTCACTCATGTTTCATTGATTTCCTACACCAATGAATAACATGCAAATGTACAACACATAAAGATTTACTCCTTTGTAACTTACAGTTCCTGTTGTTTTTGAAAATGACAATCTTAAAAATGTACATTTTCTAAACTTTCACAGGTTTGCTAAATCCTTTTCTTATTTCCAAATAATTGCCTGATTATTCTTAGAGGGCTTACTTAGTAGACAATCAGCTTCAAAAATTTGATTTTTCACCTGCCCCGTTGGAATGTAGTTCCACTTCAAGTTGAAGAGAGACAATGATAGTATGTTCCCATTTGGAATGCTATTTGTTAGAGTTTTCTCTTCTTCCCCTCCCCTCCTCTCCCCTCCCCTCTCCTTTTTCTGTAGCTATCAATTTGTTAGGTTAAGGTAGTTCTAGTCTCTTCTTATATTCCTTTTTTTTTCTTTTTAATGGATGTTGGACTGGATATAGTGGCTCACACCTGTAATCCTAGCACTTTGGGAGGCCAAAGTGGGAGGATTGCTTGAGTCCATCATAGAGAGACCCTGTCTTTACAAAAAATCAGCCAAGTGTGATGGTACGTGCCTATGGTCCCAGCTACTTGGGAGGTTGAGGTGAGAGGATTGCTTGAGCCCAAGAGGTTGAGGCTGCAATGAGGTATGACTGTGCTACTGCATTCCAGCCTGGGTAACACAGACAGCTCCTGTCCCAAATCAATTAATCAATCAATAGATGTCAACTTTTTCCAAATACTTTTTCTGCATCTCTTCATATGATCATAAATTTTTTTCTCCTTTCATCTGTTAATAAGTATTATACAAATTTTAAAATAACATATATAGATTTTTCTAATAGTAAAATGCCCATTCCATTTATTCCTGGGATAAACCCAATTTGGTTAAGGTGTTTAAGTGGTTTTATGCAGCTGAATCTGTTTAATATTTTGTTTATGTTTTGTTTTTTGCACCTATGTTTATGACTGACATTCGTTCTTTTCTTTCTCTAGAAGAGTTTACAAGAAATCGAAAGAATCTGTTTCTTCAAAGATGGTTAAAATTCACTTGTAAAATCATCTGGACTTGGCATTTTATTTATAGAAGAATTTTAAACACTTTCGGAAAAAGTGTTGGAAAATTATAATTTTCCTCAATTCCATTTAGCTAAGTAATACTTTTCCAGTAATTTGTCCATTTCATTTAAATTTTCAAATTTATTAACTTAAACATTTACATCGTATTCTCTTACCTTCTTAATCTTTACTTCATCGGTAATAATAGTTCTTTTTTCCTTTCTTTTCTCTCTCTTTCCCTTCCCCCCATTCCCCTCCCCTCCCCTCCCCTCCCCTCCCCTCTCCTTTTCTGTCTTGCTCTGAGGCCCAGGCTGGAGTCTGGTATTATGATCCCAGGCCGGAGTATGGTGGTGGGATCATAGGTCACTGTGGCCTTGAACACCTGGTCTCTAACAATCCACCACCTCCCAGATAGCTAGGACTACAGATGTGCACCACCGTGCTTGCCTAATTTAACAAATTTTTTGCAGAGATGGGGTATTACTATGTTGCCCAGGCTGGTCTTAAATCCCTGGCTTCAAGCACTCCTCCCACCTCAGCCTCCCGAAGTGCTAGGGTTACAGAGGTGCATCAGCATGTCAGGCTGCCACTTTTTATTTCTAATATTATTTGTTTCTTCTTTCTTACCTTGATGGAGGTTGACATATTCATTTATCTGTAGAGTTTTCAAATCAAAGGATTGGCTTTTTAGTTGTTGTTGATTCTCCCAATTTTATGTCTGCTTTTTTTTTTTTTTTTTTTTTTTTTTTTAAGATGGAGTCTCGCTCTGTTGCCAGGCTGGAGTGCAGTGGTGCAATCTTGGTTCACTGCAACCTCGGCCTCCCGGGTTCAAGTGATTCTCCTGCCTCAGCCTCCCGAATAGCTGGGACTGCAGGCATGCGCCATCACGCTCAGCTAATTTTTGTAATTTTAGTGGAGATGGGGTTTCACGATGTTGGCCAGGATGGTCTCGAACGCCTGACCTCGTGATCTGCCTGCCTCAGCCTCCCAAAGTGCTGGGATTACAGGCGTGAGCCACCGCGCCCAGCCTGTGTCTGCTTTTTATTCCCAGATTTTTGCTTGTATCTTAATAATTTTCTTTCTTCATTTTAATTGAGTTTATATCATTCCTTTTCTAGCTCACGTTGGATATTTTTCTTATTATAAAGCTCTAAATTTTTCTGTGTTTAAAGACTTAAAAACTGAGATCAATACTGCTTTGAAAAATAAATTCTATATATGCCATTAAGATTGGGTTTTCACATTAGTGACTGTTCCAAAAGTCTGTACCATGGGCAGAATAATGGTCTGTGGAGCTCTGACTCCCTGAGCTCTGAGTCATAGCTGTAACTGAATTGCTCTGTGGCCTGCAAAAGGTTGCTTATTTTTCAGGGCTTCAGTTTTTTCATCAATTTGTACCAGTTTCTACATTGTGGCCATTAAAAGCAAAACTGTTCATAAAGAGTCTAGGCTTGGGGCTGACATATAGTAATTATTCAAATCGCAGGAATTATAGATATTCACAAAGGTAAATGATAGATATGTTGTATAATTTTTCATTCCCTAAAAGTTTTATTGAAATCTGTGTTTGAAGGTTAAGATAAGCATAAAAATGTGCAATAATAAATGATTGAAAGATATTATTGAGATATATAGACTACATAACTTGGTATGATTTTGACCTTCTAATAGTTGTTACAATGCCTTTCTAGAAAAACATATTGTTTTGCTGAAAGTCTATGTGGATATGCAAATGCCCCAAAGATTCTGAGATTTCCTGAAGAGAAAGCACATATTATGAAGAAAATTAAATATATAAGAAATTCTAGTTTCTGCCCTCCAGAATAATGGTATTACAGCTCAATATTGTGGGAAAATAGCCAGGCAGGGCAGCTTATTTTGTATAGAAAGTGGCATTTGGATTTCCCTCAATTTTTATTTCATTTATATAAAGTACCATCTAACAATAAATTCCCTTGTGCTCAGCCACCCATTCAACCTTATTTTTTTCCCCCTTTGGTGAACCATTACTTCCTCTTGTGGAATATTTTAATAAAACTTTTGAATAAAATAATCCTTTGATACAGCTGGAAAGGAAGAAAGCATATTTGTCTTATCTGACTACATAAGTTAAAAGTACTTCAGAAATAAGGTAATTTATTTCTCAAAGGGCTTTTATTTTTATCTTTTAAGCACAATGTACTAGCTAACTATAACAGATTGGGAGAAAATACTTGCAAACCATATATCTTATCCATTAGGAGATTCCTATCTAAACATATAAGGAGTTCATATAACTCAATAAAAATAAAAAACAACCAAACAAACAACAGAAAGCCCCAAAGAGCCAAACCCCTCCTAATAACCTCATTAAAAAATGGACAAAGGACATGAATAGACATTTCTCCAAAGAAGACATAGAAATGGTCAACAGGTATATTAAGAGGTGCTTGCCATCACTAATCATCAAGGAAATACAAATTAAAAGCACAGTGAAATATTACCCCACACCTGTTGGGATGGTTATTAGAATAAGTGTTGGTGAAAGCGTGGAGAAAAGGAAACTTTTGTACACTGTTGGTGGGAATGCAAATTAGTATAGCCATATGGAAAAAAGTATAGCCATATAGCCATATGGAAAACAGTATGGAGGTCCTAAAAAATGGATAATAGAACTGCATGAGCCAGCAATCCCACTACTCTGTATATATACAAAGGAAAGGAAATCAGTACCTTGAAAAGATGTTGGCACCCCATGTTCACTGCAGCTTTATTCACAGTAGCCAAGTGACACCTAAGTGTCCATCAATGAATGAATGGACAAATGGATAAAGATAACTTGATATACATACACACCCATACACGTGCATGCATACAATGGAATATTATTTAGCCAAAAATAGAAGGAAATCCTGACATGCTACAACATGGATGAATCTGGAAAATAGTATGCAAATGAAATAAGCCACACACAGACAGATACTGCATGTTCTCAATTATTTTTAGAGTCTACAATGGTCAAATTCATAGAAATAGTGAGTAGAATGGTGGCTAGAATGGTAGTTGTCAGGGGTTGGGGGGAGGGAGAAATGGGGAGGCACTGATCAAGGGGTACAAAGTTTTAATTAGTCTGGATGGATACTATTCTGGAGACCTAACGTACAGCCGTGTGAAAATAGTTAACGATACTGAATTGTATACTTGAAATTTGCTAAGAGGATAGGTCTTAAATGTTCTCACCAAAAAAAAAAAAGAGAAAATGGTAACTATATAAGGTGATGGATATGTTAATTAGATTGATTGTGGCCATTATTCCACAATGTATTCATAGAGCAAAACACTGTCATACACCCTTGGTATATACAATTTATGTTGTGGAAAAAAGAGTGAGGAAGGAAGGAATGAAGGAAGGAAGGAAGGAAGGGAGGCAGGGAAAGGAGGGAGGGAAAGGAGGGAGGGAGGGAGGGAAGGAGGGAGGGAAAAATAGAAAGAGAAGGAAAAATAGCGAATGGGTACAAGGCTCAATACCTGGGTGATGAAATGATCTGTACAACAAAACCCTATGACACGAGTTTACCTATGTAACAAACCCACGCTTGTACCCCTGAACTTAAAATAAAAGTTAAAAAAAGAGAGAAGGGAGAGAGAAAGGGCAGGATGAAAGGGAGGAAAGGAGAAAGAGAGAAAGAGAAAAAAAGAAAAGCAGCCTTTCAGCAAAGTCCCTGGAATGCTTCCTGGCAAATCCTATCTCACTCCCTTCCACCCCCACGCTGAAGCCACTCCCAAGCTCACTGGGTGACATCAGCCTGGGCTCTTCCCCAGAAGGAGATCTCAAGGCCGAGGAGCAGCCATGGAGCTCTCCCACTCTGGGGACCACAAAAATCCCAAAAGTTTCTGAGCTAACACCCTTCAAAAAATTGAGGCCTGTGCAAAACCTACGCACGGAAAGTCTGTTTCTATTTCAGTTGTGTATCAGTTAAGATGGAAAATTTTTAAAGTCCACACAGATGGTAAATAAATTTCTGCTACATGAGGCAGTTCCTGGAATAAAGCAATTTTCTCAAATAACAAGCGCCAACTTATTTTTTTCAGCAGGACTTATTTTTAACTTTCCCAGGGAATGGTTGAGAGACTGAGAGCAATATCCTTCCCCTTAGGAATCTGAGTCTCCTTCCAGAAGAAAAGATTGCTGTTCTCAGTACAGATTTAAATGCGTGTATACACACATATGTACATTAAATGAAGGGAGTGTTGGTTCATTCATTTTCTTGGGGGAGGGGAATGAGTGAGGGAATGAGAAGGTGGAAATTTTGTAGATATATTTCTGTTTTTATCCAATGTTTAGTTTTCTATAACTTACTCCAAACTGTTTGAAATTGATTCATATTCTTGCGTAGAAATTCATTCCATATCTTGGACAAATGACCATTAATCTTTCGGAATCCTTGACATACTGTGAGAATTGGCCTGTGTCCCCAGAAATCTTTAGTAGTAGTCCCCTAGGACATAGTTGAAACCCCCTCATGCTCTGCTGGTTCATGTTTCATTGGGAAGAACCAGCCTTGGGCCTCAATTGGCAGGGAATGCTAGTGTCTTAAACAAGACTATGCCATTTGCCAAATCAGAGTGATTCAAATGTTCCTCCTAGTAGGAGGGATTCCCCATTCAGAAGAAATGCAGGAATTGACTATCAAATAATTAAACTGTGTTATAACCACTAATCATTTTAATGAGGGTATTACTGCAAGTGCTGTGTAAGTATATAGCCATTATAAATTTATTTTCTTTCTTCTTCCTCTTTATTTTTGGGCAGGGTAAACATTTCACTCAGCACTACAGATAATCTATCAATTAACAAATAAATATTTACTGAGTACCTGAATACTAGTCATAATAAGAGTAAGGAAAAAAAGAAATATCTACCTTTGAACTAAGAAGTTATAGTTGAAGAGACACAGAAGGAATTAGAGAACCACCAAGGGCTAAACTGTTTGTGGTGCTGACTATTATTATGCAGGTCAGGGGGTGATATGCAGACTTGATGTGCAGGAAGAGACACCCAGTGTTCAGGTACTATTTATGAGTATACCATCTGCATGGAAACAGGAAGACAGGTTTTCAGTAGAGAATTCTTGAAGTCCTTCTTTAGTGGCTGATATGATTTGGTTGTGTCCCCACCCAAATCTCATGTTTAATTCCCACATGTTGTGGGAAGGACCTGGTGGGAGGTAATTGAATCATGGGGGCAGGTCTTTCCCATGCTGTTCCCGTGATAGTGAATAAGTCTCACGAGATCTGATGGTTTTAAAAACGGGGGTTTCCCTGCACAGGCTCTCTTGTTTTGCCTGATGCTATCCATCTAAGATGTGACTTGCTTCTTCTTCCTTCTGCCATGATACAGTAAATTGGTACCAGTAGAGCGGGGTGCTGCTGTATATACCCAAAAATGTGGAAACATATTTGGAACTGGGTAACGGGCAGGGGTTAGAACAGTTTGGAAGGCTCAGAAGAAGACAGGAAAATGTGGAAAAGTTCAGAACTTTCTAGAGACTTGTTGAATGGCTTTGCCCAAAATGCTGATAGTAATATGGACAATAAAGTCCAGGCTGAAGTGGTCTCAGATGGAAATGAGGAACTTGTTGGGAACTGGAACAAAGGTGACTCTTGTTATGTTTTAGCAAAGAGACTGGTAGCATTTTTCCCCTTCGCTAGAGATTTTTGGAACTTTGAACTTGAGAGAGATGATTTGTTATCTGGTGGAAGAAATTTCTAAGCAGCAAAGTATTCAAGAGGTGTCTTGGGTGCTGTTAAAGGCATTCAGTTTTATAAAGAAAGCAGAGTATTAAAGTTTGGAATATTTGCAGCCTGACAATGTGATAGAAAAGAAAATCCCATTTTCCGAGGAGAAATTCAAGCCAGCTGCAGAAATTTGCATAAGTAACGAGGAGCCAAATGTTAATCCCCAAGACAGTGGGGAAAATGTCTCCAGGGCATGTCACAGGTCTTCATGGCAGCCCCTCCCATCAATGGCCCAGAGGCCTAGGAGGAAGAAATGGTTTTGTGGGCCAGGCCCAGGGTCCTCATGCTGTGTGCAGTCTGGGGATTTGGTGGCCTGTGTCCCAGCTGCTCCAGCCATGAATAAGAGGAGCCAAGGTACAGCTTGGGCTTCAGAGGGTACAAGACCCAAGTCTTGGCAGCTTCCACATGGTGTTGAGTCTGTGGGTGTGCAGAAGTCAAGAATTGGGGATTGGAAACCTCTGCCTAGATTTCAGAGGATGTATGGAAACACCTGGATGTCCAGGAAGAAGTTTGCTGCAGGGGTGAGGCCCTCCTGGAGAACTTCTGCTAGGGCAGTGCAGAAGGAAAATGTGGGGTCAGAACCCCCAAGTAGAGTCCCTACTGGGGCACTGCCTAGTGGAGCTGTGAGAAAAGGGCCACTGTCCTCCAGACCCCAGAATGGTAGATCCACCCACAACTTGCATCGTGTGCCTGGAGAAGCTGCACTCAACACCAGCCCGTGAAAGCAGCTGGGAGAGGGGCTAAAACCTGCAAAGCCACATGGGCGGAGCCACACGGGTGGAGCCACTCAAGATCATAGGAACACACCTCTTGCACCAGCCTCATCTGGATGTGAGACATACAGTCAAAGAAGATCGCTTTGGAGTTTTAAGATGTGACTGCTCCATTGGATTTCGGACTTGCAAGGGGCCTGTAGCCCCTTTGTTTTGGCCAATTTCTCCCATTTGGAATGGCAGCATTTACCCAATGCCTGAATCCTCATTGTATCTAGGAAGTAACTAACTTGCTTTTGATTTTACAGGCTCATAGGCAGAAGGCACTTGCCTTGTCTCAGATGAGACTTAGGACTGTGGACTTTTCAGTTAATGCTCCACCACGCTTAGCTAATTTTTGCATTTTTGTGGTTGTTGAGAAAGAGTTTCGCCATATTGCCCAGGCTGGTCTTGAACTCCTGGACTCAAGTGATCCATCCACTTCAGCCTCCCTAAGTGCCAGGATTACAGCTGTGAGCCACTGCATCCAGCAAAATGACATTTTTTTTTAATAAGCCAAAGAGATCAGATCATAATTTCAGTTTAAAAAGAAAATAAGTTTCTAAATATTGATTGCTGTTTTTTCTGTCATGCCTCAAACGTTTATATCAGGGTTGAATTTTGTTAAAACAGCCTTTAAAAAAAGGTGTTCCCTACGATATAGCACAGATATCTTAATTATTAAAGTTTATTTCAAAAAAATCTTTACTTTGAAGAAAATATTGATTTTCCATTCTGGTTCAAAAGGACTTTAATCTTCTGATTTTGAGGGCCCAGTAAAAGGCCATCTTTTATATTGGGTTTCTGGCTAAGCACAGTGGTTAAAATAATAAATTTCCTGTTATTCTTAGCGTGTGCCCAGAAGCCATGGAGATTTTTGGACTTACTTAGTGAATTAAACAAAGAAAGTGAATAAAATAACCTATTCTGAATAGCGACCATAGAAAATATAGATTATAAACAGTAGTAGTTTCACAACGAAAAGAAAGACATAACTGTCACCACAAACTCTCTTCCAGAGGAGATTCCTCAGTGTATTCCAGCTTGGAGGTGAACTGGGGAAAATACAAACCCTGAGGCTGGTACTCAAATCCCTAGAAGAACATACTAAGGACTGAGGTACATGAGGCTAAAAGTGAGGCTGCAGTGAGTGGCAAGTGTTGGCTGTGTGGGGTCAAGAACTGAACTTGTGATGGGAAGGAGACTATGCATGCCATCTTGGAAAACTAGAGTGAAATTATGCAGACTCTTAAGACGAGAATGAACCTAAACTGCCTTCACTCCCTTCAATCTGGTATTTTCTGCAGTTCCCACATACTTGGGTCATTATTTCATAACCATTTCTCCACTGAATACTGAACCTGTGAAACTAAACTTCCACAAGATAATGTTTACCATTTCTTAGGGCATAGGAGAAGTAAGTAGGTTGCCTCGTGAAGCAGAAAGAAACTGCAGGGGTTAATTGTGATGAGGAAAATACATCCGGTTGAAAGCAAAAAGCATTTTACACTTTTTGTGCTTTAGATAGAATAAATAAGAAGTGCTTATAATACTGCTTCAGAACCCTGATTAGCATCACTCATTGCTTTATAAAAGTTTTTAATGGCTTTCTGTGAACATCCAATGATAATAGCCTTGTTTCGTGATATTTTAAATCATTATACTAATTATCCCAAGTTTAATCTCTATTAAAAAATCTGGATTGAGGTTTTGAAAGTATTAGGAAGATTGAAAACATAAGCAAGTGTATTTCAGTAATTCGAACATAATTTTCTTATGCCCTTAAGAAGTTTAAAGTTTGAAGAGGAGATGAGACATATTTTCATTTTCACATCCACATACAGTGCAGTGTTTTTTTTTTTAGTATGGCTAATACATAGTCAACCATGTAATTTATCACCTAACTCGGACATTCCAGAGAGGGACGTGGGGAGCTAACCAGGCAGGATGTGGAAACAACAGACTCAGACCAGAGTGGTCCAGACAAACCAGAATGAATAGAAAGGAACATGTGCCATAAGATGTTAGAGTTATGAAAGTTTTTCTTATAAGTTTTTATTCTTAGTTTCTTGAGGAGAATGACAATCATTTATTCAACTTTGAATATCTTGTTCATCTTTGAACACAATGACAAATGTTCAACGGTAAAAAAACCCACTGAATTAATGAATTAGTGATTGAATTAACACATGTACATATTTATGCAAATTATCATAATTTTATTGTAGGATACACCTTTTCATGTAAGTGAAATCAAAGAAGATGATTAAAATATCAGTGCCAAGGACATAAGAAGACAGCACAGTAAGTGAATTTTTTTCTCTTTTTCTGGGTACATAGCAAGGGAAGTTGTGCTTTTCTCCTACATCAACCTTACTGAAAACAGAGAGTTGTATGGTGGATTGTGGCTTAGGGAATATGGACTCACTCCTTTGTGCATCTATTCACCCATCCGTCTGCTAGACAGCTTCCTATTTCTCACTATTCCATGTCAGTTACTGAAGCTATGCAGAGGAAGCACATGCTCTCTGCCTTCAAAGAGCATGTAGTAACCCCAAATCAGGGCCTCAGGTTTATTCTCAAACAAGATGAAAAAAAAAATACTAATCCCCATTCATTTTTCTTCCTTCCTCAGTGAAGATATCTTCAAGAAGACAGCGTGGAAGATGTAGCTTTGGTAATTTAAAGAAAGTGGAAGACACAGAAACAGTTACGCGGTAAGTGCTGGTGTGAGGTAATCAGGTATGTACAGCCACTACTGAGAAGCAGTAAGAGCCCGTGGGAGACCAGGAGCACGGATGTACATTGTATTTCTATAAGACTTTGCTATAGTAGTGAGAGTAGGGCTTCAAATTTTAACAAGGACTAATCGCAGAGGATTTAAAAATGCAGGCTGGGAAATATGATCTACATTTGATAAAAAACCAAGACATAGGTTAGTGCTTTTACAAATGGAAATAATCTGGTGATGATGCTTTCTTAGGAAGATTAAATCTGATTAGACTGTGTAGAATGAGCTTGTATAAGAGAGAATACTGGATCCAGAGAGATGGCAAACAATTTATCATATCACTTCTACATGCTGAGATGAGGATTTGGATGGGATGGAGACGAGAAATGAAGACACATAAATAATATATTCCTACACCAGTCATAGAGAAATCATATCCTAACCACCCAACCAATTTTCTTTAGTCATAACTAGGAAAGATCAACCAAGATCACTAAATCGTTAGAAAAAAAAAATCAATAGTAGAGAAACAGACTGCTACACAAAAAGGAATGATTCAGGTAATACCAATAACATATTAAAAAACCTCTAAGAGAATCCCTGTAATTAGTATTTTCAGAGAGATTTGAGAAAATATTACATTTGTAAAACATGAACATGGTACTAGGGAAAACCAGGCAGAGAACACCGTCCATGTATTAGGTTGTTCTCGCATTGCTATAAAGAAATACCCGAGACTGGGTAATTTATAAAGAAGAGAGGTTTAACTGGCTTATGGTTCTGCAGGTTATACAGGAAGCATGGTATAGGCATCTGCTCAGGGAGGCCTTAGGAAGCTTACAATCATGGTGGAAAGTGAAGGGGGAGCAGGCACATCACATGATGAAAGCAGGAGTGAGTGAGAGAGAGAAGGGGGTAGGTGGAGGTGCCACACACTTTTAAACGATCAGAACTCAGAAGAACTCACTCACTATCACCAAGGCATCACCAAGCCTGAGGGATCCATTCCCATGACCCAGAAACCTCCCACCAGGTCCCAACTCTGGCATTTGAGATTACAATTCGACATGAGATTTGGACAGGGACACATATTCAATCTATGTCAGTGCATATTCTTCACCTTCTCTCCTGTTCAGGGATGAACTCTTAGCTAAAGTCTAGCCCTTCTGTTCAAAGATGAACTCATAGCTAAAAAATGCAAGACATCCCGTTAAGGGATGAACTCTTAGCTAAAGTCTAAGCCCAGTCTTTCCTCCGAGCCCTGGATCCCATCCCTTCTCATCAGTTCAAGGCTATCACCGCTAGAACTGTCTCTCCTCAGGTATCAATAATATTTCCTCTACTGAATCATTTCTATCAGCTTCCAATATAATGTTCAAATATCTCCCAATACAATTATTTTAAAAAAATCCCTCTCTGGCTTTCTTTGTTTTCTTTTATAGCAATTATTGAATTTTTAATACATAACTTTGCTCACTTTCTTCAATTCTCGTTCTCCTTTTTGTTCTTGAACCCACTGAAAATAAGCAGATGCTCCCACAAAAACTTGCCTAAACAAGCTGGCCTGTTGGCCTCCTGTTATCAAATGTCAGTTTTCTTCTGGTCTACTTGGGTCTATGCATAGCATTTGAGACATTTGATCTTACTTTCCTTTCAGAAACAGCTTTTTCACCCAGCTTCTAGGATTCCACTCTGATTCTTTTCTCTTATTAGTTCATTCCACCCCTTAGTTGGTTTACTGTTTTATTTTATGCTTCCCTCCTGTAGAAAGTAGGTCCTTTGGAGAAAAGATGTTATTTTGTATCCCTTCCATCTGGAAGAGTGCTCAGTACATTTTAAGCACTTAATATTTGTTTGTTGACTAGGTAACTGAAGGAAAATAAGAAAGTTAAAAATATGACTGCAACAATAAATGTTTCAAAGGACAGTGAATAATAAAATGGATATATCTGAAGACCAAGCTGCTGATCTGGTCCAGTGAGTCAAGAAGATCTCACAATAAGCAAAGCAAAAATACAAAAAAAGGTCGCATAATGAGTGGAAGTTAAGAGACATAGATACAAGTTATTACAAAAAAATCTAATAGGAATTTTGGGCTGAAACAACAGAAACAATGGGAGGTGGCAACACTCATAAAATATTGGAAGGAATATTTCTGAAGCTGATAAAAGTTATGGCTTCTCAGATTGAAAGATTTTAGTTAACATTAGGTTGCATCCAAAAGAAACAAAGCTGCTCTTTGATAACTTTTATAACTCTAGGGAGGAAAAATATCTTGACTATCTAGAGAATTAAAAACAAGCTACTGGTTGGGCAAGGTGGCTCACACCTGTAATCCCAGCAGTTTGGGAGGCTGAGGCAGGAGGATTGCTTGAGACTTGAGACCAGTCCCAGCAACACAGCAAGAATCTGTCTCAGAAAGAAAGAAAAGAAAAGGAAAAGAAAGAAAGAAAAGAAGAAGAAGAAGAAGAAGAAGAAGAAGAAGAAGAAGAAGAAGAAGAAGAAGAAGAGAAAAAGAAAGAAAGAAAGAAAGAAAGAAAAAGAAAGAAAGAAGAAAAGTATACATATCAGCCTGTGTGGTGGCGTGTGTCTGTAGGCCCAGACACTTCAGAGGCTGACGCATGAGGATCACTTGGGCCCAGGAGGTGGGGGCTGCAGTGAGCTATGTTCTTGCCACTTGCAGTCCGACCTGAGTGACAGAACAAAACCCTGTCTCAAAAACAAACAAAACAACTTATTTACAAAAGACAGACATCAGTGTGACATATAGATCTTCTAATATAAAATACTGGGTCACAGGAGAGTTGAGAAATATCATCCAGTTTCTCAAGGGAAAAAATAGAGCATAGACAGTTAAATATGTTTGATTATTGGTTAAAATATGAGCCAAACAAGGACCCATAAAAGCTTAAAAATATATGCACGACAATGTGATTAAGTTATTCAGGGAGATATGTAAACCAGAAAAATAAGAATATAAGAAAGATAAAGAACATGGACATGGGAAAGATGCATAACATAGAAAACAGGAACAAAATAGAAAGAACGTAAAAGAAAATCTTTTAGAACTTGATGCCTGCCTGGTTGATCTTTTAAAGATAGACTATATCTTCTTCCTTTGGGTCCAATTTTACTGCTTTGTTCTGGAGTGAATATTTATGTATCATAAAGACTGCTATGGTCTTTGAATCTTTATCCTATAGGTGAAGCACAGAATGATAATAGTCATTAGATAGAATACATATGCTAAAATCGTAAAAATGCAAAATTCATACAACCAACAAAAATTAAGATACACAGTAGGAAGGAGAAGAGAGGTGGACCAAGGGGATCACTTGATGTCAGGAGTTTGAGACCAGCCTCGCCAACAGGGTGAAACCCAATTTCTACTAAAAGTATAAAAAATTTGCCAGGCGTGGTAGCATTGCCTGTAGTCCTAGCTACTAGGGAGGCTGAGGCAGGAGAATCGCTTGAGCTTGGGAGGTAGAGGTTGCAGTCAGCTGAGATCACGCCATTGCACTGCAGCCTGGGCAACAGAGCCAGACTCCGTCTCAAAATATATAAATAAATAAATATGTAAGTAAAGATAATCTGAGCTGCAGTGTAGAATATGGATTGAAAGGGGTTAGGACCAAAGGCCAAGAGGCCAGTTAAGAAAATGTAGCAGTAATTGGAGGAAAAGATGGCAGAGAATAAAGGAAATGAGTATGAGAGATCATAATTCTCTACGCTTTTGAAATGGAAAGACAATAAATTTAACTAAAATATTAAAAATGAATAAATCAACAAATAGGCTGGGTGCAGTTGCTCACGCCTGTAATCCCAGTAACTTGGGAGGCCAAGGCAGCTGGATCACTTGAGCTCAAGAGTTTGAGACCAGCCTGGGCAATATGACAAAACCCCATCTCCTCAAAAAAATACAAAATCTTAACCAGGCATGGTGGTGCATGCCTGTAGTTTTAGCTACTTGAGAGACTTAGGTGGGAGAATCACCTGAGTCTGGGAAGTTGAGGCTGCAGTGAGCCATGATTGTGCCAGTCACTGCAGCTTGGGTGATGGGAGTGAGACCTTGTCTCAAAAAGTAAATAAATAAATAAAACAAACAAACAGAAGAATAAGCATTTTAAATAAAATAAATAACTGACATTCATAAAGCTAAATACTGGAAGAAGAAAAAAGACATAAATAATAAACGTCCGTTGTTATGAAGGAGAAGCTTTGAGCAAGTATGAGAATACCAGACTCCATTAGAATGTAAGTTTCTGATAGAAAATTTACAGCCCCGTTGTACTGTTATATGAAACTGTGCTTGGCACAAAACATAAGCACTGGTTATAGGTTGAACTGGACCCCTCTCCCAATTCTTATGTTGAAATGTTATCCCCAGTACCTCACAATGTGACTTTATTTGGAAATAGGGTTTTTGTAGATGTAACTAGTCATGTTGTGATGAGGTCATATTAGAGATGGACAGGCCAGTATTCCAACTCAACTGATGTCCTTAAAAAGGGGGAAATATGGACATAGTCACACACACACACGAAGAAGCCCATGTCAACATAAAGGCCTATAGAAAGATAATATACCTACAAGTCTTCAAGCCAAAGAATGCCAAAGATTAGCAGCAAAGCACCAGAAGCTAGGGGAGTGTAAAGGAACCAATTCTCCTTCAGAGCCAATTGAAGGAGCTAACCCTGCCCACACCTTGATCTGGGACTTCTAGACCACAATTACGATGACTTTCTGTTCTTTTAAGCATGCAATTTAAGGTGCTTTGTTAGGACAGCCCAAGAAAATGAATACAGCAGTCAAAGAATATTTGTTAAATGAACAAAGGAAATACCCCATCTTTCACAGGTGGACATTATAAATTTGAAGTAATATCATTAATTAATATGTATGTATATAAATGGAAGCATGTATTTCTAGTCATATATCTAATGCACAGATTGGAGACAGTTAATCATGGTGTCTACAAGAATGGGACAAGTCAGAGAGAGAGAGTTTAACTTTTCATTTTATAATTTCTTTTGCCATGTGCATGTATCATTTACATATTAAAAAGATAAAAATAGTTGATGAATAGAGCAATGCTGTCTGACTAGAAGTGTCTTTATTCAGGTTAAGCGGTGAAATAATTTAAAGCTTGGAATTGATTCAGGAATCTTGACTTCTTAAAACTATAGCTATAGAAATCATGTTTTCTATCAAGCAAAATAAGGTACATTTAATGTAGAGATGTCCCCATGTAATTAACTATACGTCATAGTTACCTTTTATTAGCATTTCTTGAGAGATATTAGGTAGAACTTAAGATAAGTCAATATAGCCTGACGTGATTACGCGATTTAATTGGAACAGAGAGACAGTGAGAGAATAGGATTAATGATTATTGTGACATAAGATCATGCTTGAAGTGCCGTGCTTGTCTTCACTCAATCACTCATTCAACAGAAATTTAATAAATGCATGCTGTACACTGGGCATATGCTAGCTGCTAAGGAGAGAATGGTGACTAAGTAATGAGTGTGACGGTCCCTGTCTTCAAGGAATTTACAGTTTGAATTGGAGGTTTGTATACCAGTTTCCTGAGGCTGCTCTAACAAATCACTACAAACTTAACTGTTCTAAAACAACAGGAATTTTTTTCACAATTCTAGGGGCCAGAAGTCAAAGTAGGTTGGCAGGGCTGTGCTTTTCTCAGAAGGCTCTAGGGCAGAATCTTTCCTTCCCTCTTCTGGCTTCTAGTGGCTTCAGGCGCTCCTCTACTTATGGCTGCATCGGTCCAATCTCTGCTTCTGTTTTCACATGGCCTTGTCTGTGTGTCCATGTCTGCTCCTCTTCTGTCTCTTGTAAGGACGCTTGTCATTAGATTGAGGGTCCACCTGGGATATCCAGGATGATCTCACCTTGAGATCCTTAACTTGATTACATCTGCAAAGACCCTTTTTCCAAACAAGATCATATTTGCAGGTTCCAGGGGTTACAATGTGCATGTACCTTTTGAGGGGCCACAATTCAATCACTACAGTATGGATAAGTGAATAGATGGTTCCAATCCAGTGTGACAGGTGCTATGCTAGGGCACGTACTTGCAGGATGCACAGAGACACCTAGAAGGTGGCCCCATTTCAGTTTTTGAGGGGTTCAGGGAAGACATTTTAAGTGAAGTATCAGGTAAGAAGAAACTTGAAGAATAACCAAAAACTAGTTAGGCAAGGGCAGGGAGGTGAGCTGGGAGAGCTTTCAGGGAGAGAGAGTGTGTGAGAGGTAACTGGAAAAAGTTTAAGTTTGCTGTAAAGTATGGGATGAGGAGAAGGTGAAGATGAGATGGCATAGGTGAACAGGGCCCAGATTGTGACTGTCCTTGAAAACCATGTCTTCCATATTGGAATTTTGAAGCAATAGAAGGGAGAAGTACAGATTTGCATTGTTTAAAGATAATCTCGGGCGGGGTGTGGTGGCTCACACCTGTAATCCCAGCATTTTGGGAGGCCGAGGCTGCTGGATCACTTGAGGTCAGGAGTTCGAGATCAGCCTGGCCAACAGGGTGAACCCAAATCTCTACTAAAAGTACAGAAAAAAGCCAGGTGTGGTAGCATCGCCTGTAGTCTAGCTACTAGGGAGGCTGAGGCAAGAGAATCGATTGAACCTGGGAGGCAGAGGTTGCAGTGAACCCAGATCATGCCATTGCACTCCAGCCTGGGCAACAGAGTGAGACTCTGTCTCAAAATAAATAAACAAGTAAATAATGAAATAAAGACAATCTGAGCTGCAGTGTGGAATATGAATTGGAAGGGGTTAGGACCAAAGGCCAAGAGGCCAGTTAAGAAAACGTAGCAGTAATTTGAGGAAAAGATGGTAGAGAATAAAGGAAATGGATATGAGAGATCATGAAGATGTAAAATTATTATGTTCATTAGAATTGTTAAATAAGACTAAGCTTACAGATGCATTTTTACAGTGTTTCTAAAGTGAAGATTCATTCTCAATCTCTGTTTTTTAGCTTAACTCTCTCTACCTATGATTAGCCCACAGGTACATATGGACAGATAACAATATGAATCTAGCAGCCGTTCTCAATAAACATTTTTAATTTCTGAAATAAGTCTTGTATGCCTGGACTGATTCTCTTTAGTTTTTGGAGCGATGGATATACTTTAACTTGCTTTGCTTCAAAGTAAATTGGCTTTTAAACTCCTTCCTTAAGGAAAGGATGGAACCGAACACGAGTGATGGCTATTGGTTACAACTCATTCTTGATTCTATGTATCTGTTTAGTTTTCTTGGTTTCATAGTTTCACAACATCCTTGTTAAAATGCAGAAGGGTGTTATCAGAGTGGCAATGAAATTCTGCCCAGAAGGAACTAATGGCAGCAACAGTAGGCAAGGTAAATATGTCACTTTGAACATAAACAGTCCCTGGAGGCCATCTGTCATATATACAGAAAAAGTCCATCTCGTCCTTCTCACCTGGGTACCTACTGACCATGACAGGGATGTGCGCTATGACCAGCAAGCAGAAGAGAGATTACGTGGGACTCACAGTGGTTGGACCAGGAGACTTATGACAAAATATTTGCTTATTTGCTAATAATTCTTCCAGAATTAAGCACTTATGAAGTGGTTGAAATGGTACCCATTCCTTGAAAATGCTATGTCAAGTACAGCTCTCCAGGATTTGAAATATAGAACAACAATAAAAATCCCTAGACAAGGTTATGATTCACCTTAAGTGTGGTGGCTATTTTAAATCTTTGGTACTTTAAACATGGCTTCGTAGCTCCTTTATACTTTCTTTTAATAGCAGGGATTTTGGAATTCTAACACACTTCTACTATTTTCTCCTACATAGAGACTGACTTTTATTTTTCTTTCCCAAGTCCTGATGCAGTATAGAAAACCATAGTGTAGCCATCTTTGTTAGCCACAATACTTGGTTTTATTCACTCATCATAAACAAACAATAGGCTTAAAATGACTTCAATATAGCTTGAAAAGAGACAGTAGCATTGTCCTTGTTTGAACATGCACTTCTTGTTGCTACTTGCCACCCTACCCTATTTTCTGCTGTCTCAAGTGACCTTATGTATACCACATTTTGCTGTGACATTCTGTGCAGTAACTGGAACTCTAGCTTGGCACTGCACAGCCATGTTTTTAAAAGGGAATACTGGAGGTGCAAATCTTGGGCAGCAGTTTGTATGCATCACTCACTGTATCAATGTAGTAACGTATCTGTTGACATCTCCTGAGTAAATCTGGTCCTCTTAAAAATGGAAAGACGTATGTGAAAGTTAGAAATTAAATCTCGTAATCTACAGACTTCACATAACCCACACAACTATTGTTCACTTATTCTCTAACAGAAGATACATTCTCTCAATGGCCAGGCTTGAAGATTTAGGATTCCAATAACTATCGGGTATGAAATGTCAAAAATAGATTTATTTCCATTTTGAGTTGCCCAGGAAAGGCTCATGCACAACTTAGCATGCTTTTTGTTTCTAGTCTAAGCAGAATTTTAAGCATAAAAATTTAGTGCTTTATGTGATCAATGACATGTTTAAAAGAAAAATTTGCATGACGAGTACACAGAAATCCGCTAGCTAACTTCCTTTATCCTCTGCCCTCTTGACAATTGCTCATGGCATGGGACTTGTTTGAAATACTTTTCAGCTTGTTTAAAATTTATCATGCCTCAATCCAAACACTGTGAACATCTGAGAGAAAGCACTTTGTAACTTTTAAGTGGACAGAGATCACATTTATGATAAAAGTCTATGTTGACCATGGGGAAGGAGTACAGAATAACCGAATGAAATGAAAATTCATGCCTTAGGAAAAAGCAAATTTTTATTGCAAAACTAGAAACCAGGAGAAACGTAGAAAAAACAAAGCTCATTTTAGACTCCATTCCATTTTGCTTTAAAAAATCCATTTTATGTTTTTGTCAGCATATACCTGAAATGGCAGTTAAATTCTCAGATGTTTTTTTCCCCCGCACACAAAGTAGACAAATGTCTGAAAGAGGCATAAGACATTTCCTTTCATCATTTAAGAAAACCCTTAATATTAGGTTTGTGTTACATTTCGATGTTGGCCAATTCTTTCTGATTACTTTTAAATTATAGAGTTTCCATAATAATGTTCAACTCAGCATTTTCTCTGTGGGGCAGCAACTTCACACTGGTACCACGACATACCACTATTAACATTCTAAGTTACAGCTCCTTGGTCTTGTCAATACCCACACATTTTATTTTAGTTCAAATGAAATGCAAGGGTATTTAGTTTTTTCCAGCTGAAACATTCCATGAACCTATGAAATGCAAATTCTGGGTGTTTCATCCATATTTGTTTGTAAGATGACACCTAGCATGGTCCACTGAGCAATTACTTGCTTGTTGGATAAATGAACATAGGACAGGATATTCAAGATCTTGTGATTATCCTACAACAAAACGAAGGCAAAATGCAAGGGATGTCCTTGATGAATGGATTGGAAGTTAAAGTCCCAACTACACAACAGCAAATACATAGGGTGAGAAATAATCATTCTGTACACAAGAAATTGGCAGATTGTTTCTTAATGTAGGTACTGGTCAGCTGTGATATTGACTCAAAGTCCCATCTCCCTGTGCTTCTGTGGATGGGGTGAGGCAAATTATCCACCGGCCCTCTGAGGGAAGTCTGCTGCGGTTTCCTTTTGGAAGTCCTTTGGAAATGTGGAATCAGAGCACAATTAGTCGACTTACTAATGTAGTGCCTGCAGTAGTGACCGCTTGGTTCTTTTGTGCTTGTCACCTCTTCTACTCCAGGTTTCAACAAAGAGTATACTTTTGCAAGAAGCAAAATATTGCATTTCCAGTTGTGGATGATTATGACAGATACTGAAAATGAATGGACATCCATAATATTTTTGTTAAGTAAATTTATTTTAATATTCCTGCCATAGGTTTGGGCTATCTACATGTCATAATTCTCTTAAGAAAAAGTTTATGTCATTTGGAAATTCATCAATGAATTTTGTGCCCTAAATTGACATTCAGTCTCAAAATTTATACAATAATGGTAAAAATTAAGACTTAGTACACTGAACCTCAGCACTAATCTTTCCCACTCCAAGTTTGTCCCATAACAAGAGAAGACGAACAGCATAGCTGTTGAACTCACAGGGTCTGCATGCTCCCATTTTCTGTTCTTAGAGTTAGAAAATGTTTTCCTTTTTTTTTTTTTTGAAACGGAGTCTCACTCTGTTGCCCAGGCTGGAGTGCAATGGCGTGAGTTCGGCTCACTGCAACCTCCCCAACCCGGGTTCAAGCAGTTCTCTGCCTCAGCCTCCTGAGTTGCTGGGATGACAGGTGCCCACCACCATGTCCGGCTAATTTTTGTATTTTTAGTAGAGACAGAGTTTCACCATCTTGGCCAGGCTGGTCTTGAACTCCTGACCTTGTGATCCACCCGCCTCAGCCTCCCAAAGTGCTGGGATTACAGGCGTGAGCCACTGCACCAGGCCTGAAAATCTCTTGTTTTACACTTAAAGAAGGCGATCATTGATATTTTACATTTTATCAGATATTTATGAAGTACATTTCTTGCCTGCTTTACACTCTGACTAAAATACCTTTGGGGACCTCTTCAAAGTGATACTACAGAAAATTTCTAATTATGCCTAAGGCCAGTATGTGAGTAGAATATGAAATATGATCAGCATTGAAGTTTTAATGAAAGAGGAATTATTCTCATGCCTTCTTACTTCTCATGCTTTCAGTCAATTATGCTGACCTTGTTATAACTGTTCAAAACTATATAAAACAGTGTATTAAAAACATTCCGTACATGATTCTTATGTATCAGGGAGGGAATTGAGAATTAGTGGGAATGAATACCTAATATCATTATTTCATAGTTGAACCATTTTGTTAATATATCTCCTGCTAATGCCTTAGTCACAAAGCACATTTCCACAATTTTCATTTAGCTTTTTTATTAATTAATCAAATACTAGCTAGGGAGCAAATTAACTATAAATTAGCTATAAAGCCAGCATCATTTTCAGGACTCATTAGTATATTGAAATCTAGATAATTGTTTAAAATATGGTGAGCCCTGAAATTACGTAGCTAAAAAATAGAAGTTTGAAGACAGAAACAGAAAACAGAACAGTTAAAATGCCACAAAGAGATCCCTTTCCCTCATTTATTCCCACAAGTGCAAAATCTAAAATGTATCCTTTAAAGCTCAGCCCAGACACCAGCTGAGCGAAGACTTTTCTGACCTCCCCATCTGGAAAGGGATCCTCCCTTAGCCCAAATTCTGGCGATCTGAATACTTTCTAACTTTAATTATGTTGAAACCTAATTAAGATATAACTTTACTTGTAGTTCAAAACTTACCGAAGTTAATTACGCTTAATATGAAAGTTAGTTATTTGTGTGTTACATTGCCCCTACTAATGTGTAAACACCTTTAGGTAAGAAGGCACATATATGCTTATTCATATTCTACACCACACATAGCAAAGTGCATGGGAAAGAGAAGATAATAAATATTTAGCCAACGAATGCATATTCTAGGCTCAATTTTTTTTATTTTTTATTTTTATTTTTTGAGATGCAGTTTTGCTCTTGTTGCCCAGGCTGGAGTGCAGTGGCGTGATCTTGGCTCACTGCAACCTCTGCCTCCTGGGTTGAAGTGACTCTCCTGTCTCAGTCTCCCGAGCAGCTGGGATTACAGGTGCATGCCACCATGCCTGGCTAATTTTTGTATTTTAATAGAGACAGGGTTTCATCATATTGGTCAGACCGGTGTCGAACTCCTGACATCAGGTGATCTGCCTGCTTTGGCTCCCCAAAGTGCTGGGATTACAGGCGTGAGCCACCGTGCCTGGCCAGTGCTACTATTTAATGATAAAACTTGATGCCTCAGATGTCCATGTGGGTTGACATACTTTCTCAGTTCTCTCTTGAATTTGTCAGTCCCCGCCCCCGGCCCCGAGATTTTTCTAAGAAACTCTCAGATCTATAATTAGGGCAATTTAGTAAAACACACACACCATACACACACACACACACACACACACACACACACACACAAAATGTTGCTACTATTAAGAATAGCTGAAGTCACAAGGTGTTTACTATGTGTACACAGACACTTTTAACTACTTTGTATATATTAACTCATTTAATATTTCTGACAATAGATGGAGAATCCTGTTATACAAATGAAAAAAAAAAACTGTGCCATAGAGAGATTAAGTAACTTACAAGATTAGAAAGATACGTGTGAGGGAAGCAGGACTGAAACCCAGGCAGTTTGGCTTCAGAGGCTGTTGGCTTCTTTAGTTTGTTCTAGGCATAGTGAAGAATCTGTGGACACTTAACCCTGGGCAGTGCAGGAGTCCAGAAATTTCCCACTGAAGAAGCTACTTATGCTGGCTGCTTATATATGCTGTGAATATAGATTCTACTAGAATTTGCATTATTTTCAGATATAATAATTCTGCACTCCAATTATTTGGCTGTCAGATCCTCATCTCGAATTCTGGTTAAAAAATACCATTGTTCTAGGTGCTGTACTATGTGGATGTTTAATGAGATTTTCCATTTTACTTAATGTTCCTAACAATCTTGTAAGGCCGAGACTGTTTTCTCCATTTTCCAGGGGCATGAAAGGCTCACAAAGGTTAAATACACCCCCCACTTTAGGTTGTGCTTTTTTTCCTCATTACAGCTTACTCCCTTGGCTGGAAAATCAAGTTCAGTCCAAGCCATTCATTTTCTAGACCAAATAATGATGCTATTTCAATATTTTCAAAAATCTCTGGGTTAATTTTTAATGTGCATAAAAAGCTGCAAACCCTTTTGAAGTTTCATTGGCTCAAAAAATAGAAGTGAAAAAATTGAAGAGGTTCGTTAATCACTAGTTTTATTCCTATGTCAATACAGAACTAGAACTAAGAAAAAAGTTTATTTCTCCCAGTTACTTATATTTCCTTTGAAATTGGTGAGGTTATCTTTAAAATAGCACTATAATTTTCTTTACGGTTAGAAAATTATCTGTAGAATAGAGATCTTGTTGGCAGCAAGGGATAAGTATATTATTTGTAAGAACATGAGCCAGAAAAACAGATCCTGTTGGCACCACTGTGTCTGGTACCCAGATAAGAGGCAGGACTCTGTTACATAGGTTATGTGATTTATCCCAACTTGTGTGGATATTGGCATTTCTTCGAGGGAGGCAGCCAAAACCTATGGTTGTTTGTTGGTATTAAAAGATTAATAAATTGGTCATGGTTTATAGTAACAGAAATCCATGAGGAACAAGCTAAATCAGTTTCACTATTACGATGGCCTCCAATGCACAATTGGCTCTGAAGTAACCATTCATTATTTAAAATAACATCATAAAAGTGTATTAATTCTTGCTCCAATAAAAGCTGATGTTGGGTTAATGTGAACTCATTAATGATCCTGTTAACAGCTGATGTAAATGTGCGATTTTGGTTCAAATCACTGATTAGATCAGAGGCCCCTCATACATCGTAACTAATTTTTTTTCCCAATAATATCTGGAACAAGGAACGTTCAGGTTTAATTACCCTCATTCAGAATTTATATAAATATATATATACACACACACACATATATATATAAATTCAGAATATATATATATATAAATTTAGAATATATATTCTGAGTGAGGGCAATTAAATCTGAATATATACATATTCAAATTTAATATTTTTTATATATATATTCAGATTTAATATTTTTTTATATATATATAGCCTTAAAGGCATCTGGCAGCAAATCTCCCAACTTTATGTCATTTTCACAATGAAAATTAAAAAAGAATTTGTCAGCATTTGACACTCTCTAAACAAATGCTTCTCAATCTCCCCAATCATTTGTCTTTCAATCTCTTATTCTATTCTTCCTGCCATCTTCTCTCCACTCCACCCCCAACTTCCTCATAGTGACATTACCCAGAAAAGCTATGGAATTTCTAGACCAGTGGCCTCTGACATTTTTGATATGGACTCCCCTGCAAGCATGTGTATGTTACTTACTTATAAACAATAACACATATACTTTTGTGTTAATATGTATGTTATAGAACATACATAAAATTAAATGATAAAATATACGTGAATGGATATTCTAACAGTTTCCTTTTCTACACTCATCCTTGTCCACTCCTCTCTGGATACAACTAAGTATCTTCGGGATAACATTTACTACTCATCGTTTGCTATTGACTAATTAGTTATGATTAGTGAGTTCTTTTGTGGCACAGTGTAATAATGATCTCAGTCTTGAAGGTTTCCTCAGAGATCCAGATTTTACATGATTCCCTTGTCCCTCTTCTTCCCTCATGTCCTGATTTAGCACAGAACTAGCAGGCAGAACAGAGAGGGGATATGTGGCCAATGGTGGTGGTTGTATGACTTAAGTTCTTCTGCATCTTTATAACTTGGGTTCATGACACTTAGCATTATCCTCTGAAAATAAATATCTTACCACAACGAAGACATGCATTCGTTCTAGCATTTATGAACAGGTTCTAAGCACTGCGGACACAAGGTTGAATAATTGTGCTCAGTGAGCTACATTTTAGTTAGCAATGGTGGAATCAATTGGATTCCAATGAATTTGTTTATTATACATTATACATAGGATTACAGTAGGAATATATACATCATGTCAGTAATAAGTCTTCTGTGGGTATAGAGAGAACTGAGCAACTAACTTGACTGAGAAAACTGGGGAAATTAAACACCCCCAAAAAGTAAAACATTTGAGGATCTTGAAATATGAGCTTATCTGAGGGTTCCACCTCTAGCCTGTTGGAGATACAGCCCATAAGGCTGGCTCTGGTCATCACCTGATGTTAAAAAATAGCAATGATTTAGCTCCATCAGCTGTATAATCTCTGGAGTCAAGTTCATGTTCCCTGTCTCTTTGCTAAACTCCTGCTTGTGATAACCACATCATCCTGTTGAAATTGAATCTGATTCCAGCCTGCTACATATTCACTTTTTGTCAAAGACTTGTATTTATTTTTTTCTTTACAAATGACCAGTGCTATTTTTGGTATCCTATTTTAGCCTGTCCTTTTTTTTCTATCACTTACTCTCTCTGTCTCTCTCTCTCTCTCTGTTTTCTCTCTCCCTCCACCTCTCTCACTACTCTCTCCTCTCTCAGTGCCAGCCTTATACGTCATTCAAACAGAAGCCCTGCTTGGAATCTCCAGTGGGATTTCAGTGACTAGATGCTTTGCAATGGAATAAAGTCTGCTAACTGGCTCATGGTGGTGGACCAAGCACATAGGATAGCACCTGGGATATTGAAAATGCTCAATATTTATTGATTGATTTTACCAGACGCTATACCTAGCGTTTTCATTTATCTTACAATTAAATGTTTTTGCATTTCAAGTTGGTTTTAGGAGACTTATATTTATTTGTCATGAGACGATATATTTGAGCCCCAAATATCTGCAAATACATTTTTGGCTTTCTGGTTATTTATAAGGCAAAAACCAGGTTAAATGGCATGAAATTATTTGATAGTTTTCAGTGGCCCAATGAAGCACAAAATAAGCTATTTACAAAGCTATTGGCTTTACCTGGGACACAAAACTCACTAAGAATATGTTGGATAAGAACTGTCACAGGAACTTGTTATGAATTTACACACCAACTAACCACTTGGAAATAAGTTTCATTGCCAGCTCCAGTCTTTAGCCTAGGGAAACAAGTGTCAAAACAAGGGGATTTGGGAAGCACAATCTTCTCAACAGGCCTGTGTCATTAAAACCAGTGCAAGCTTAGTGTAAAATAATACTGTTATTATGAATTTATCTGCAGAGCTATATATACCTACCCTGCTTTACATTCCTTCCCTCCTTGTCGGCTGATACTAAGCTTATTCACAAGCTAATTCCTTCATTGTCCTTGCTTTCATTCCACATATCTTGCTACATTAGTCTGGAGGCTTGGCTTAACTATCTTTTAGGTTTTCATTTCTTGTTTTAATTTATCTTTTTAATTAAAAATTTTTCAGTTGATACATAAACATTGTTTATAATCTTATGGGGCACATAGATGATGTTTTGATACATACAATGTTTAGTGATCAGATCTGGGTAATTAGAAGAGCCATCGTTCCAAACATTGATCATGTCTGAGAACATATGTGCTGAGAACGTTCAATATCCTTCTTCTAGCTATTTGAAACTATGTATTATTGTTAACTATAGTTACAATACTTGTTATACTGTTAAATATAATTACAATATATTCTATACCTCTTTACATTGTAAACTTATTTTCTAGAACTTATTTTCTTTAAATAGTTCCTTTCCTTTTATATTGTCCCAGTCAGCCTCCTACTTTGGTTCATTCCATTTTCTGCACAATTTACTATCTTCTTTATGTCACCCATTGGTCAATGTTATCCTCCCCTTGTTACAAGTCTCCCCCATCAGCATTCAGGGGATAGAAAGGAAAGAGAGTATCATTTCAGGTATGGGAGTCCTTTTACCAAATGTTTGCATATTTTAAATATAGAATAAGGAGAAAATATTTGATTTTTATCAGTCATAGACAATGTATTATGTTTTCCAGAGATGTAAAGTACAGTATGTACAATATAATGTTTTATTCCTGGACAGTTTTTCTATGAGAAATGATATAGCATCTGATAAACATCACTTAATATATCAAATAGTTTCATAATGAGGAAAGGTATTCTGTTGCATGAAATTAAAGCACCTAGTGTTTATACAGAATACCACAGAACATATATGCAGCTTGGTTATTTCTTTCACAACGTGTCATGATATATTGGAATATATTTATGTTAGAGTGTATTCCTCAATATTTATGTTATGAGTTATCTCTCAATATAAATTGTCCCTTACGTCTTTGATAATAGAACTTTTAGCAAACATATGCTTGTCCAGAATGCAGATTCCAATGGTCAGTTCCTTTATTGCTAGATATGCCCATGCAACTAAATTCTAGCCCATGAAATTGCAGTGAAGCCGACGACCTGGGTACTGCCTGTACACAGGGTGCGATCACCCCTGTAGCCTTTTGCCTTCCCACTGACTTGAATGTAGAGGAGGACTCGAGAGCAGAGAGGGTAGATAAAAGGGGTGTGGATTCTGAAGGCATAGAGCCTATATATTAGTTCAGAACTTCTTATCCCTATTTTATGCGTGTGAGAGAAATATGTCATTTGAACCACTATTATGCTTTCTGAGATAGCAGCCAAATCTATAGCCTAATTAATACTGAGATATAGGCCGGGCACAGTGGCTCACACCTGTAATCCCAACACTTTGGGAGGCTGAGGCAGGTGGATCACTTGAGGTCAGGAGTTTGAGACCAGGCTGGCCAACATGGCGAAACCCCATGTCTACTAAAAATATAAAAATTAGCCAGATGTGAGGGTGCACTCCTGTAATCTCAGCTACTAAGGAGGCTGAGGCAGGAGAATTGTTTGAACCCAGGAGGCGGAAGTTGCAATGGGCGGAGATCACACCCCTGCACTCCAGCCTGGGTAAGGAAGCAAGACTCCATCTCAAAGAAATAAACAAACACACACAAACCTGAGGGATAAACTAAGACCCTAACATTCATTTAATTTGTTTTTGGAATATAAGGTTTTTGTTGGAATGTAGAATTAGGTGTCTTCTTAAAGTTCAGATTATCTTTGCATCTTTTTTGGAGTTTATTTTGCTTTGTAATATGGATTATTTCTTGTCTTATGTGAGCAAATAAACATATGTTCAGACATTTATATAATTATTATGGTTATTCAAAAAATTCAGAACTATTTAAGTAGTCTTTACAGAAGACTGAATTTTGTACTCTCTCTAATTAGTAACCCACTTCTTTAAGAAAAAATGTCTAACCTCAAGTCTTTCCCTAAATGTTTTCCATCTTCACATCTCATCTGGTTTAAAGAGACCACTTCTTAGACTGTCTCCCTCCTCCAGACTACTTTGGAATTTGTCTCAGAATTGCTTTTAACCAGCCGCCTCACCCCAGAGACCAGCCAGGCCCTGAGTGCTGGTCATATGTCACCCAACCTTATGGCACATTCACTAACATTTGCTCACAATTTGTTTGGTTTTCCTTTGATATCAGTGGCTTCAATTTCATTATATATTTCATCCTATTTAGAGGAATTATTGGCTTAAAAGGTCAATATTTGTGATCCCCTATATACTACATATATACTAAAAATAAAGGTATATACTTGTACATATACTACAAATGTAATCCCCTCCAATTGAGACTCCTAATAAATATACGTGTGACTAAACCCTGGTAGTCTGAAATATCATCGGAAACTAAGAAAACTAAGCTTTGCAAAACGATGAATGCCTGCTAAGATTTATGGGCTTCAAGGAAGGATAATTTTTATTAAAAGTACAATGATATCTCTAGAGCACTATTTCAATACATTTTGAAGATCCCCCTTATAAGCTCTTTTATTTTTTTCTTCAGGTCTTAGAACTTTGATGTGATCTTGACAAAAGAAATCAATGTGCACAAATTTATTGAAGGATTTGATTCAATCACATGATTATCAGATAATGAGCTGATTACAATTCCATAACTAAAATGATATTAGCCTTAATTGATTTCACTTTTCCAAGTTCTTATCTTACGGGTATTACTATGGCTGACAAACAGTTTTAAATATATAGACAATTAGCAAACTCTTTCTACCACTTGACCATTTGCCACTGCATTCCCTACAGACATGAAAATGTGGCACATGTGTGCCTCCAAAAAACTTATCTCTTCTAAACCAGTTGCACTAGTATTAGACATCAACTAGATTAGAACTCTTGTTAATAGTGTGAAAAACTTTATAAATATTTGTTCATAATTTATAAAAGCAGAATCATAATAATAATGCAGATAAAAGGTTGTTTTGTGCCATGCAGAAAATGCCTCAGCTTATATACTAAATATTATTTTATTTTTGTGTTTCTGTTCAGTGTATGCATTTCATACATAATTCTGTGATCTTTTATAAAGATTATATGGGGTAAAAAGTGAAAACCCCTCCTGTTCTTTTAATTCC